>NC_000002.12:49887321-50190352 GCF_000001405.40 Homo sapiens | reverse complement strand
GAGAAAAGCATATACAATATTTGGTGTGGCATTCTCAACTAATTTATGTAGTGTAATTGTACCTCCACTTTAAGAAAAAAATACATATATAGAAAAAAACTTTTCATAGTTGAAATATATTCTTACTCTTTTAAGGAAAATGGTATTTAATTGCAAACTTTCCTGTGATAATTGGAGATAATAACTTATGATATTTACCATTTTCATGATCTTACTCTAGTTTCTTTATAGTCCCAATAGTTGAACAGAATGTAGTGTCTCCATTTTCAAAATTAGTATCCTGAAGTTAAAATGTCCATTGTTTATCAATGACATAGTATTAGAACTCATTTCTGATTCTTTCAGCCTTTTGCTACTAATCTCATACCACTTCATTCAAGATGATTGTATATTGTTTGAGTTTGATTTGTGAAATGTAGAAAAGTCAATCAGAATACTTCATCTGAGTATCATCCATGTGCAAACTGTATAGCATGAAGGAGTTCAGAATGAGACTCAACCAAATTAATGCTTAAAATCTATTGATAAACTAATTCAATAACTTTAAATGATTGCAGGCCTCTTAGAGTTCAGATCTATTGTATATAAAATGAACAGTAAAGTGGTGTTTAAGCTTCGGTGTAGTTTGAATACTCTGTCAAATCCATATTCCCTTTCTGCTTATACTGAGTGACTTCCTTCTTACCAGTTTTGAGATGACTCATTCTAGAAGGCTTTGTCAATTGATCATTTGCCACCAAGATATACTGATTTATTTTGCTATGGCCTTACACATAATATGAAATATACTAGCTAAGAAATACTTTGATTTTCATTTTATTTTACCACTTTTTTAATTATTATACTTTAAGTTCTTGGATACATGTGCAGAACATGCAGGTTTGTTACATAAGTATACGTGTGCCATGGTGGTTTGCTGCACCCATTAACCTGTCATCTACATTAGGTATTTTTCCTAATGCTATCCCTCCCCTACCCCCCAACCCCCAGCAGGCTCAGGTGTGTGATATTCCCCTCCCTGTGTCCATGTGTTCTCATTGTTCAACTCCCACTTATGAGTGAGAACACGGAGTGTTTGGTTTTCTGTCCCTGTGTTAGTTTCCTGAGAATGATGGTTTCCAGCTCCATCCATGTCCCTGGAAAGGACATGAAGTAATTCTTTTTATGACTTCATAGTATTCCATTGTGTATATGTGCCACATTTTCTTTATCCACTCTATCATTGATGATCATTTGGGTTGGTTCCAAGTCTTTGCTATTGTGAACAGTGCTGCAATAAACATACGTGTGCATGTGTCTTTATAGTAGAATGATTTATAATCCTTTGGGTATATACCCAGTAATGGGATTGCTGGGTCAAATGATATTTCTGGCTCTAGATCCTTGAGGAATCGCCACACTGTCTTCCACAATGGTTGAACTAATTTACACTCCCAAAAACAGTTTAAGAGCGATCCTATTTCTCCACATCCTCTCCAGCATCTGTTGTTTGCTGACTTTTCAATGATCTCTGTTCTGACTGGCATGAGATGGTATCTCATTGTGGTGTTGATTTGCATTTTTCTAATGACCAGTGATGATGAGCTTTTTAAAATATGTTTGTTGGCCACATAAATACCTTCTTTTGAGAAGTGTCTGTTCATATTCTTCATCCACTTTTTGATGTTTTTTTTTTCTTGTAAATTTGTTTAAGTTCCTTGTAGATTCTGGATATTAGCTATTTGTCAGCTGGATAGCTTGCAAAAATTTTCTCCCATTCTGTAGGTTACCTATTCACTCTAATGATAGTTTATTTTGCTATGCAGAAGCTGTTTAGTTTAATTAGATCCCATTTGTCAATTTTGGCATTTGTTGCCATTGCTTTTAGTGTTTTAGTTATGAAGTTTTTGCCCATGCTTATGTCCTGAATGGTGTTGCCTAGGTTTTCTTGTAGGGTTTTTATGGTTTTAGGTCTTACATTTCAGTCTTTAATCCATCTTGAGTTAATTTTTGTATAAGGTATAAGGAAGGGATCCAGTTTCAGTTTTCTGCATATGGCTAGCCAGTTTTCCCAACACCATTTACTAAATAGGGAATCCTTTCCCCGTTGCTTGTTTTTGTCAGGTTTGTCAAAGATCAAATGGTTGTAGATGTGCGGTGTTATTTCTGAGGCCTCCATTCTGTTCCATTGGTCTATATATCTGTTTTGGTATCAGTATCAAGCTGGTTTTGTTACTGTAGCCTTGTACTCTTATTCAATATAGTGTTGGAACTTCTGGCCAGGGCAGTCAGGCAAGAGAAAGAAACATAGGGTATTCAAATAGGAAGAGAGGAAGTCAAATTTTCTCTGTTTGCAGATGACATGTTTGTATATTTAGAAAACCCCATCATCTCAGCTCAAAATCTCCTTAATAAGCAACTTCAGCAAAGTCTCAGGATACAAAATCAATGTGCAAAAATCACAAGCATTCTAATACACCAGCAATAGACAAACAAAGTGCCAAATCATGAGTGAACTCCCATTCACAATTGCCACAAAGAGAATAAAATACCTAGGAATCCAACTTACAAGGGATGTGAAGGACCTCTTCAAGGAAAACTACAAACCACTGCTCAAGGAAATAAGAGAGGACACAAATGGAACCATGCTCATGGATAAGAAGAATCAATATTGCGAAAATGGCCATACTGCCCAAGGTAATGTATAGATTCAATGCCATCCCCATGAAGCTACCATTGACTTTCTTCACAGAATTAGAAAAAAACTCTGCTTTAAATTTTATATGGATCCAAAAAAGAGCTCCTTATAGCCAAGACAACCCTAAACAAAAAGAACAAAGCTGGAGGCATCATGCTACCTGATTTCAAACTACCACTATTTTTTTTAAAGAAAAAGGCATTTGCATATTTGGAGATCAACAGCATAATAAAAGAATGTTATTCATTTTGCAGTGGGCTTGAAATCTCTTCTTCACTAAACCTTAAGATTTAAAAAATGAGCTCTTTGTGGAGAAATGGGAAAATTTGTTTTAAATGTTAATTAAATATATATCCACCTTTTTACCTTGGTGTGCCAAGATTTTGGACTTTTCCTTTTATCCAACTTGAGTATGTGAACATGTGGTCAAGACTGCTATGACAGTTCCTGTTTCTCAGGATGTGTAATATTCATGATCGCAATAATTTGGTTGAGTCTCATTCTGAACTCCTTTATGCTATACAGTTGCACATGTTTTAGGTGTGATCTTTATTGGTTTGTTTGTCTGATTTTAAAACATAGAATCAGCCATTGACTTTATGATGTTATTAACTATGATTTTATGTTGTTTTAGTGGACCTTACTTACCTCTAGAAATATCTTGTTCTTGCTCACTGTTTTGCAGATGTTGTTTAATGCCAGGAACCATCTTTATATATATAGCATTTATTACAAAACTGGATAGACAAAATAAACAATTGTGGAAGGAAGGAATTTTAAAAATGTTTTGAAATAAATCATATTCTAAATAATTTGGGTTGAGTCATTTTGAAATTTTTAAAAGATTGTGTATCTTAATAGTCAATTAAAAACTACATGTTAAGAGATATTGCTTATATCTCCTCAATAAAATATATGAATATTATACCCTCACAAATTCCGCTGGTTAAATGAAAGTTCAGAAGAAGCATTCTATGTCTTTTCGGCCTTTGAGTAAAGCATACATGATGCACAGCAAAGGAAATTTTTCTGAGCTTCTTACTGTCAAGATTACAAGGAACCTGGCCAAATCAAGAAATAATCTTTAGTTTTTAAATTCGTTGAGACATTTGGTGATGAAAAGGTTATAGAAGAATCTACTCATCTGCCAGGGCTGAGTAATACACAAGTTTCCTCTTTTCCTTGGGACTGAACCAGCACCAGCTCAGGACCCTGATGATGTAACTTCTGACAAGAACACAATGAATTCATATTTGAGATTCTGAACATAACATTTCATCCAAGTACTTTTTAAGAGGTTCATATCCTTTAAAATCTGATATCTTTGACAATTTACAAGCTTTAGGGAGCCCTTCTTGAAATGTTGACATGAAGACTTAGATTTATTTACCAATTTGGTAATGATGTAGCAAAGTAAAGATTCCCTTGTTAGTTGAGCGTAGTATACATTTACAGAAAAGGATGGTATTGTTATCAGAAATAATTTTCTTTGTGAGAGTTATGGCCACAAGAGCCATTTTATTTGTTCTGTTCATTGAAGTGGCCCATTCAAATCATGGAAAATGCAGGTTTTCTGGCAGATAGTTTCAATATATTTTACTTAGTTTATGAGTTTTTCCATCAATTGTACTAGTATTGTGTGGTTTTATAAATCAGTATTTAACTGCTATAAATATCTGCATCTCTACTAAGTTATTTTAACATTTGGAACTATACAGAAAAATATTTATAGGTAATGAGGCTTATCAAAGCTCTTTTGAAGAGGAACACACACTGAGTAAAACTATTTTAAACCAAGGTAATTTGAAGTTTAAAAGAGTGACCATTTTGCTCACATGAATGATGTGCAGTCATAGTAGTATAATAAAAGCTAGTTGTTGTAAGAAATAATGCAAAATTTCAGTGAGTTATTATAAATGTTTATTGTACAGTCAAATATAGTTCAGTATCAGGGTGGAGGCTTTAATCCCTGTGATGATTCAAGGATGCAGACTCCTCCCATATTGTGACTCCACCATCATTTAGGCCTTTGAGTCTTTCACTGCATCCAGATCTTCTGCATCCAGATGCTAGACAAGGCAGGAACAAGAGCAAAGACAAAGTACACTGGCTCTCAATGCATCTGAGGCTTCAGGTATCATGCATTTATTTCTACTCTTACATTATTGGTGAAAACTAATGACATGGCCCCACTTAGGAAGAAGTGGGGAAGTGTAATCTGACAGTGTGCTCAGGAAGGAGAGAACTTCTTGACTACATCATATTTTCTCTGTTCACCATTCAAGAGATACAATACAAATATGGTAATAGCAAGTTAAATCTGGAAACGGAACCCAGGAGATTTAACTCCTGAGTTTGTGCTCTTAAACACCATTCTATACTGCCTCTCCTTGTAGAGAAAAAAGAAATTGTCAGTGATATAAAATGTGTGCCATAAACAAATGGAAGTTATAGATCAGATGCATTCAACTCAGATCTAACTATGTTTGTACTTCTAATTCTAAGAGATTTCTGAACAAAGCATCTCCATGGATGGATTAGCTGGTGAGATCATTCAGTTTCTCTCATTCTCCCCATCACTTTCCCACAGGCTTTGACTTGACTTGAAACCTTTCACATATGTCTCCTCCAAGGTCACACTACCTGGGCAAGTTTGAGATAAATAAAAGGTGTAATACTATGTAATGAAGAGGGGAGGCCACCTACGTGGCGCTAAAGAGGAAGGCTTTTGGAACCAGACTTCCTTAATTCAAATCCTACCTCTGTCACTTACTAGCTATGGGACCTTGGCCAATTACTTAATCCCTGCATGACTCGGTTCCACTGTTAGCAAAATGTCGATAATATGTGTGCCTACATTATAGGGTCATCAGGAGTTAATACTTGTAAAATATTTCTACAATTATCAAGTATATTGTAAATGCTATATAAGTATTTGTTAAATTAAAAGATTGAGAGAGACAGAGAGACAGAGAGAGACAGCACACTACTCTGGAGGCTCAAATGAAATGAGAGTTTCCAAGGTCATGAATTTTGAAATGTGTTTCTAATTTAAATGAAAATCACCATTATGATAGTGGAGTATGTTTTCTTTAAATTTCTTCTTAGTAATATTATTTGCAAAAGGTAATTTTATTGGAATAATGTATACTTTTAGCTAAAACACCTAAATACATTTGATTTTGCAGCTGTCTCATTCTGTTCTTTTATTTTTCATGGGTTAAATAGTACTCTCTCTTTAAGTATTTTTACATGTTAGGTGACATTTTTATTGAAGTAAATTGATATTAAATAAAAAGTACTTTTCTCAATGACTGAGTAGACATTCAACAAAATGTGGATCCCTGGTCCTTATTTCGGCCCTGAAAATGTCTGTTTTGGTTATGTAGCATACTTAAAATAATTATTTAAGGAATGTGTGATCTAGAGATATTGTTTGAAAATATAGATTTGCTTATTAGTATTGTCAAGTTGAGAAAATAATGGGGTAAAAGGTAGGACTAAAACAATATTCAAGTTTTTTGTTTAATATGAATTATGGAGTCTGTGTAGAATATTAGCTAATGCATCTGTAGAAAACAATTACTACCTAAAGAAACTTCCTGTCGAACTTTTTACAGATTTATTTTTATAGCACAGTTACAAAATGTTGTACATAGAAATATATTCAGTGTAACTGACACAAACTTAATTACATCAGTGCGAATGTACTTGCTATAATTTCGAGCTAAGGAGTTTTACTCTGTTGTTCAAATAACACTTACTTAAAGCACAACCGGTGCCTGCCTGCAGCTCCCCACCAGGTGAAAACCATGGTTTAGAAAGTCTGTAAATGCAAACTAATCTTTAATCTAAATCCATTGTATCAGTTTCCTTAAAACAAATTTTCTCAAGGTTGTTACAATTTACATGTTGAGCCAAATAATCCTTTGTTGTGGGAGCTGTCCTGCATTTTATTGAATGTTTAGCAGCATCCCTGGTCTTTGCACACTAGATGCCAATAGTATCTAGTTGTGACAAACAGAAACACTTTTAGATATTGCCAGATATCCCATGGAGGGTCCACATTACCCAGGTTGAAACACTGTCTACAAATATTGAATCAGCAAGAACAACAAAATCCCACATTTAAAAATATATATTTTTTTTACAAACACAGTTAAAGAATATCAATATTTTATCATCAAATGACTTTTTTGATAAATAAAAGTAAGGTCTTTTTCAAATAGAGGTTGGTTTAAAAAAAAACTCCCCAAATCTCCAACATTCAGAAACAGCTGTCTCTTTGGCAAGGGAAGATTTCAAGTTTTGCTGAATTTTATTACACTTGTCGATAACAAATTGACAGCTGCTAAATATGAACCCTGTGGTATAATAAACCTTTGAAATTAACTTTCAAACCTCAGATGCCAATTTTTATTCAATTGTGTTATTTAAGGAGCAGATGCTTCTGACAAATATTCAGTGTTGTCCTAAGACAAAAAATAAATGATAGCTTTATTTCCTGTCTTTTCCTCTTCACTCACATCTAAAATCACCTTTCAAGAAATTCTTAGCTCTAACTTCCTTCTATAATTGGCTGAAACAAAAGTCACAGCATATTTCTAATGATGTGCATCCTTAATGCCTATACTTAATTGGAGGTTTAGACTCAATATCATTCTCTCTATGGTATGTATACATTGTTAGAATGATATTTTAGTTTCCCTTGCTATAAACAGCCTTCTAGTGAGATAATTTAGATATTTTACCATCTGATGGTCTTGCATGAGCTCTAATTACTATATTTACTTTACTGAACTTTTTCTCCACAATGAATAATGTGATAAGAGCATTCCTGGGATCGACTCTCAAAGCTTCCCAATAATTATGAAATGTAGAATATTAAACTTTTTATTTGAAATAACTTTCTTTTTATACCTGTTGACTCTATTATAAAGACATAGATTTTTATTGTATCTCCCTGTATAATATTCATGATTGTGAATTTCCAGCATTGTAGAGGATGGCGACAGCTCGAAGAAGGAATGAGCAGGTTTTAAGACAACCAGGGCCACTTAAAAGAGAAACAACAGAAATCCAATAACAACGTGTAGCATTAGGAGGTCAAATTTATGTGGACAAATTTGAATTCATGCCTCCATTGAATAAACAGCATAACTTAACAGAGAATCCAAACATATTGAGAGCCTTGGCTTTTGAAAGAAAGAAAGTGGCAAATTCAAGGAAAAATATGGAAGAAAAATTGAATGAGATTATCCAAAACGTGGGAGCCATTCAGCTTTACCAACACCCGCAGACACTAATCTAGGATTTTAAACTTTATTCTTTTCCATTAAATGATACATTTTTTGATCTAGAAGATGAATGCCACATGTAAAATCTTATGAAATGTACCTTATAGAAATAGGAAAGAATAGGAGAGAAGAAAAAGAGGATCTAACATTTATTGAGAGTCTACCATATTCTAGATTTTGTGCCAAACCGATAGTGGCTTTATTTGTCAATCAGAGAGGAAATAGCTATATGGTTTTGATAAAATCTAAAAGTAAAAAAAAAAAAAAGGATAATGAATTTTTAAGAAGTAGTAACCAATGAAAAATATTTCAAAATAATTAGGAATGTGAAGGCATTTTTTTTTTCCTTTCCCTTGAAGCTACCAAAAAAGATATGGAAACCTTAGTTTTTTAAGTTGAAAAATTAATAGCGTACTCCTAGGACTGTGTGTTAAGGAACTTTTTAAAAACTATCTTTATCTGAAGTTTTCAAAGCAGACCTGTTCCTGACCTTTGCAGTAGTCACAAAAACGTTCATACAACAATGCTCGTTTTCCATGATAATCTGATGGAATTATCAATTTTGTGGTGCGCTCATTACTAGAACTATGGACTGAAGACAATAGGGAAGTAGATATATTGATAAATTAACCTTATTGAAAATGTTTTTCTTATCCATTATTCTCATTCAAGTAAACAAAAAAAGTAAAACTCATCCGTGGAATAATGTCAGAGCATATTTATTTGTGTATCAGAACGATTAAAAAAAAGTCCTAGTCCTCAGCTGTAAATGGCCAAAATTTATTTAGTCTAATTTTCCCCTATTGGAAAGGCAAGGCAATGAATTGCTTTACCAGTGAGGCAAAGGAGGCCCAGAGAAGGTAACTGATTTGCCCTCATAACGAGGCCACTACAAAGCAGACTGAAGATCAGCAGATACTTTGTCTCTTAAGATAATGCCGCATCTACCTAAAAGCATGGATCTGCTATCCATGGTTCTGAACCTATTATAAGACCATGTTCATATATTCTACAACAGCAAGGAGAAGGGGACAAAAAATTAATAAACAGGGTATTTTTTTTTTGCCTCAGAGGAACCTAAAGCCCATGTCTCAATATTTTATTTGTCAATTAATTGCAATACATAGGTTTTTTTTAAACTCACCATTAAATTGTTTCATGTTTTCAAGATAGTTAAGACTTCTCTTTCTATCCTTTAGTAAATATCATCATGCACTTATGTCATGTACCTGTAGAAAGAAATGTGTTAAAGCTACTGAGCTCTAATACGTTATTGTGAATACCTTAAAACTCTTTTCATGGTTAAATGAGAATGTTTTTCTAAAAATTATTGTAATTATAAATACTAAATCCTCCTTAAAGAAAAATTGGAAAACACAAATATAAAAGAAAACCCCTAATTAATTTACTACACAAACCCAAAAGTTAAAAATAATGCTGTTTTGAACACCTGTCAATGGAAAACTGTTTTTAAAAAAATTAAGACAGTCATTTTAGATTCTTTTATTTAATTCAATTTACCACATCAACAATTATCAGTGCATGCAAGACTTTTAAAAGGAGATGTCTCTAGTCCATTTTTGCTGCTATAACAGAATACCTAAAACCAGGTAGTTTATAAAGAATAGAATTATTTTCCTCATGGGTCTAGAGGCTGGGAAGTTCAAGACCAAAGCTCCAGCATCTGGTGTCTGATGGTAAGGGTTTGGTCTCTGCTTTAGGATGGGGCCTCGAGTGCTGTATCCCCCAGAGGGAAGGAATCCTTTTCCTCATAAGGCAGAAGAGCAGAGGGGCAGAACCCTTCTCCCCAAAGCTCTTTATATTGCAGTGTTAATCCATTTTTGAGGGTAGAGCTCTCATTATCTAAACACCTCCCATTAGACACCATCTCCCAACACTGTTACACTGGGGATTAAGTATCCAACACACATATTCTGGGGGACACATTCAGGCTATAACAGGGGATTATACATGCTGGAACACTAGCAAGGTGTGAGAGTTTTGCTTCAAGGATTCTCATCAGAATTAGCTATTATCATTAAAAACAAAAATTGAGCCTGGCACAGTGGCTCACCCCTGTAATCCCAGAACTTTGGGAGGCTGAGGCAGGAGAATTCCTTGAAGTCAGGAGTTCAAGACCAGCCTGGGCAGCACAGCAAGACCGTGTCTCTACAAATTTTTTTTTTTAAATTAGCCAGATGTGGGGGCACCGCCCTGTATTCTTAGCTACTCAGGAGGCTGAGGCAGGAGGATTGCTTGAGCCCAGGAGTTCAAGGCTACAGTGAGGTCTGATTGAACCACTGCACTCCAGCCAGCCTGGACAACAGAGTGAGAGCCTGTCTCTAAATAAATTAATATTAAAATTAAAAATTCCTTTTGGCAATAATTGCTTTAAACTGAAAATAATAAAAACTGTTTATTACCCAGAAATAATGACACAGTGCTTAATCAAAATCGTGGTATGAAAAATCAAACCGATTATTTGTAGGCAGTATAGGAAAAGGGAAGGAGGAGCAGCAGGCAGTTTCGATCTGCCTGGACGTCTAGCTCTAGGTTAAGCACTCCTAAGCAGCTGCTGCTTTTCAATTTTCATTCTCCACATTTTTTTTCTTTAAGAGCTCTTCTGGAAATTATAATGTGTGTTACACTATGTAGTATAAAAAAGGGTAACAATTTAAACATCTAATTTATTTATAATTTTGGGACTGCTATTATTGGGGTCATAGATTGGTAGCATGTTATAATGAGGTATTTTATAAGCTTTACTGAATTCACAAAAGCTCCTGTTCTCCTGATTAGTGCCTTTGTGCATGTTACCATAGAATCAATATCATTTTCAGAAAATAGCAGCTAACCTTTAGAGAAGGGATGGGGAAAAATGGTTTCCCAAGTTCAGTGGGTCTAATTTGCTTGTTTGCATGTGATATTCATAAAATCATGCCCATTACTGATGAAAAACTCACCTCAGGGCATAAGGACAAAAGAAAAACAGGTAATTAAAAGTAATTAAACAAAAGCAGTAATTATGCACAGAGCTGATCAACAAATCACTTTAGGTGGTCCCAGAATTTATGTATCTTGTTTCTCTGTGGCTAATATGCTGATGTGACTAGACAGGTTAGGGATGTTTACCTACTCATATCTACTACCGTCTCCCTGGAAGATGTAGTGAAATGTGGAGCAGCTCCATATTTTTGTGCAAATAGCTGCTTGACATTATTAAAATATCTTAGGACATGTTTCCTACTTATTTCTAAAGCTACTTTTCTCCAGTTGTTATCTTAAATGTCTTTTCTGATTAGGATGACAAAGTGTTTTGCTCCTTTGAACTAAGACACCTAAAAATACAGTCTTCAGTATTTTCTTTTTTATTACAATTATAAATATAAACTGTTCTCAAGCATTGTTAGGTATTTCTCTTTACAAAGAGCACTTTGAAATGGAAGACAGGGAGAAATTCATACATGGCTTTGTTCTTGGATTCCCCATTTTCCCCAGACTACTGCCTGATTTCAACTACTGCTGTTACTTGTGTCTTTGGCAGCTACAAGCTAACATGGTTCTCAAAGCTCTTTTCATTGGCAAACCTTGATGTAAATATTTAAATCTTGTAATAATACTTTATGGTATGTATTATACAGCAGGGGTGTGGTGATATGTAACATGAGGTGTTTTACCTCTATAGAAATCTACTCATAGCTTGTTTACCTTATGTCCCACTTCTAGCTGGTAAGCCAAAAAAAAGTACTTACTGTTCCTGTGAACCATTTGTAATCCAAATTCCTCTGTAAACTTCTAATGCATTCCCTTTGAACCCTGTTTAATGTTACATGTCTCTGAAAGAGAGAATAGAATATTGTTTCCAACCTTCTGTAGGTTCTGTTTTGTGGGCAGTATGTCTCAAATTATATGTGGTATTGTAGAAAAAAAGTAGCATGAAAAAGTTGGCAAGAATTGACTTTTAATGAAGAAGACATTTATCATGGACTGTCCTCTTAACAGCCAGTGAGATACCAAGGACAAGTTCTAAGTCAACCCAAATTTAAAGTTATCCCAAGCAGAACATTGGATAGACCAGATTGAGCAGACTGTGTTAAAAAGATTCTCTTGTGCAGTGCCATCCAGCCAATCTGTTGCTGGCATTGCCAAAAATATTCGGGCTAGCTGGCCAAGTTGTTCTCAGAATTGCAGCTCATATCGATTTTAGAATGTAACTTAGATCATTTAATTTTTCTTAGATTCTGAAACTCAGAATCTTCCTCCTACTACCCTAATCTGAAACACACTATGAATCAGGGACTGTTTAAATTGAAGAGAATACATGTATCTTCTAGTAAACCCTCAAATTTTACATATGAGAAACTGAGGCCTAAAGAGATTATGACCACTTTCTGAAATCCATCATAGGACTAGAACTCAAGTCAATGATGTCTCTTGAGGTTGTCACTCTCTTTCTCTCTTCCATGCTGCCTCATATGCTTCCTTCCTTTCTTCCAACAGGTATTTAATCAGGGTTGTGGTGTGTGTTTTTGTGTGTGACAGAGAGGGAGGGAGGGAGGGAGAGGAGGAGAGAGAGAGAGAGAGAGAGAGAGAGAGAGAGAGAGTTAGTTAGTTAGTTTAGCTACAATTGAATGCTACTTGTTTTCTGATTTTCAGGAAACATTCTAGAGTATTAAGTCTTTTCCTTCCTTCTTCCTTCCTTTGTAGTACCTACTAAACCACTTTTTGTATTTAGGCGTTTGCATCAAATTGCTGAGCAAGATTAAATAACCACATTAATTCAATGATTTTTAAGGACTATTTTGGGGCTTTTGAGAATATAATATTTTAGCTCTGTTTACATCCCAAAGTAAAAGATATATTTACTATATTTATATAAAAGTAATATATTTATGATAAATACATTTAGCTATTCAAATAATATACTTTTCTATATTATAGAAATGGGACAGCAAAGTAAACATACAGAAAATAAACATTTATGCTGTTTTGGGAAAAACAGTTTTTCATTTTTCCTTTGGTGTAATAAAACAACTATTAACTATTTAACGTGCATGAAACCTTTTAAGTTATCTGATTTTCTGGAGATGACAGACACTGGAAACTCCAAAAGGGAGGATGGTGGGAGGGGAATGAGAGTTGAAAAATTACCTATTGGGTATAATGTTCAACATTTGGGTGATGGGTGCACAAGAAACCCAATCCCCGCTATTACACAAGTAATATCCATGTAACAAGCACATGTACTCCCTGCATCTAAAATTTTCTAAAACTCTAACTTTCAAGTAAATTTGACATTACTTCTGCAAGAACACAACTAAAAACAATGTCTTTTGCCCAATTATTGTTAAGATAAATTGCTTTGAAATGATAATGTATGTCTTCTCTTTTTTCCCACTGTTTCTTTTAAGAACAGAAACTCGGTTTACTCTTCCCTTTCTTTTTATGTGTGGTGTTCTTATGATTACCACCTTTCTTAGTTTCCTTGCCTCTGAAGAACTGAAAGCAACCTGTATGTCTTAGCTCTGGACTTTCTAGGAAACAGAGCCTTAATGTTACAAACTAAAGCAAGCCAGAGCAGTGATTTGGGAAGACCAGGGGTGTATTGCTTTAAGGTCCCCAATTTTTGATATTGGACAAGTGATGTTTTCTCAATGTTATGTACAAGGTGAATAAAAATACCTTTAGGAAAAAGGCTGATTATTTTAAGTTTAATGTCATTCTATTTCCAGACCTTTATATGCCATCCTTTCATGCTATCCATCTAATAGAGTTATGTGTTAGGTGAAGTTTTGGCCTAGATAGTTTTCACTCAGGAATTATGTTGCTCCCAGGGTATATTTGACAATGTCTGAAGACATTTTTGGTTGTCACCACTCGGTTGGAGAGGTGATAACAGGCATCTAATGAGTCGAGGCCAGGCATGCCATTAAACACTCTAAAATTCACAGGAAAGGCCCCTGCTCCTTCCAAGAAAGAATTTTCTAGCCTAAAATGTCAATAGCAAAGAGTTTGGGAAATGCTGAACTAAAAAGTTTCCAAAACTGAGTTGTTTGGAAACTTTCTAAATTTCTTACTGAGTTGTTGACTTGGACATTTTTTAACTTTCTAGACCAAAAGAAATTGAGCTAAAAAATTTCAATAAGAGCTGAAACATATGTGAAACCATAATGCATTGGGCTGAAAAACATATATCAAGGTTTCTGGTTTTGTTTTCTTAACTTGTATGGTGGAAGATGAAAACCTTTTAATTCTTTATTCATGGCTTAACTAGGTCAGTGCTAATACTAGAAGTCATAGCTTTTCCATCCTTCTAACTGAATAGCAGGAGGGACTCAGTTCTAAGCACCTAGTACAGTGCTTAGGGGGCTAGGGATTCAGTAAGTGCTTGTTGACTGCCTCCCTGCCTAACAGTATTTGTGAATTTCTTCTCTCTAAAAAGACCTCATGGCTTTTTCTTCTGGTGATGGCTTCTCTTCAGGAGAAGAAAATGTGCAGAATTACCTGAAGCACATAATATGAGAAGAAAATCAGAAGTAAAGTGAAAGGAAGCTCAGAAAGGGAACCTTGTCAATGGGAAGATTTGTGTGTTTACTGATTTCTCTTTTATTTTTTGCTTTCTCCTTAATAATGTGTATATTCTGAGTGTTACCTGGTCTAGTTCTCTGAATCTCTTATACATAAAATTAAGCAGTTTTTCTTTGTTGTAAATGTATATGTATAGATAGACATGCATGTGCATATATATGCATGCTATATATATATATATATTTGCATAAATGTGTGTATATTCTATCCACATATATTCTTTTGTGTATAATAACCAAAAAATCTAAAAGTAGTAAGTCTTAATGCTTGAAGAAAAATTGGAAACCAAATGAGATTTTTAAGAGTGACCCATTCATGAAATGCTCCATCTGCCTAAAAATAGTTATTAACAGATTTGGGAGACAAAGGGAAAATGAAGTGTCAGAAGGAAAGGAAAACCAAATTCTCTTTACATGAATATAATCTGCTGGAACTGGTTAGCTTTAAAATGCATCTTTGTGTTAATGGCCTTATGGTTTGTGCAGATGTATCAGTTGTTACCTATAACTTCTTTATAACCATTGAGTTAGAAAGCATGTGCACTTGATTTGTGTGACCGTGTTGTCTTATTTCAGGAGGGGTTCTTATCAGGATGGCCTGTTGGATGGCCTTGCCTTGAATTTGGTTCTTCGGCCATTGTGAAGGAGTGAAGTGGAAAGGGCATTGGATCATGAGGCCCATGCTTAGATGCTAGCACTGGCTCGAACACCTACTATTATGTGGCTTAGCAAGTCACTGATTTCTGAACCTCAAGTTCATGAAATATAATTTGAAGGCAATAATCTATAGCCTACCCACATTACAGGCTTGTTGAGAGGTCATGTGGGTAATATAGTGAAATTGTAGGCAAATGATAGCATGCTACGCTTGAGCTAAGTATAGCATGTTACTGTTTTAATGGTTATTATTATGATTTTTTAAATTATCATTACTTCAGTGACTACAAGACTGGTTCTGTTGTTCTTCTGGCTTTTTAAATATTTGGACATTTTCCGTTCTGAAATAAAATCCATAATTACAACAGCAAATTTTTTTTTCTAAGAGCTTGACATATAGTAATTTATTTAATCCTTCCAACAACATTATAAGGTATGTAATACTATTATCTGTTTTATAGAACTGTTAAGAAGATTACTGAATTAAATACAGCTAATAAGTGATAGAACTAAGGTTTAAAACCAGACAGACCCTTATTCTTAATTGCTGTGCTGTGCTATGACGTTAATGTGATATGAATGTCATATGAATGTAACTAGTATAGTGGCTGTTGAATCTGAATCTAAAATACAGCATGCCACCCACATCCTTACTTGGTTTTTAATAGCAGCTTTTGAAGTCATCTGTGTATTAGTAACAATAGTAATATTAATAAATATGTTGAATTTGATACAAATGCTTTACATGGATCTTTTATTTTTTTAAATAAACCTTGTGGTGAATACTCTTATTTGAATTGAGAAAACTAAAGCTCTAAAAGGTGAAATAACTGGACCAGACTCACAAGACAGTCAATGGCCGAACTGGGTCTGATAGAGATCGTCTTGTTCTAGAACTTTTATTCCTAATCACTACACTATTTTGTCTCTTTTTTGTATTTTTTAAAAAATTCTTTACACCTTGGTAAATTATTCTACCTGTATAATATTAAGACAGGTTTTCTGAGGTGATGAAGTAGTATTCTAATCAGAAGGCCAATTTAGAGAGAAGCTCTATTTTATGTATTTATTTTGATATAAATCAATTTTTTTTATTTTTGTGGGGAAGGGGATTGATATATTGTTTTAGGGAGGACTTGTGGTAGGATCCATCATCTGAAGAAAGACACTTAGTGCATATGCATGTTAACCTGACAGATGGTCAGAGTTTAGAGCCCAGATCTTACTTCTGTATTACCCATAATAAATAAACCATATTAGAAGGTTTGAATGTACAGAGGGAACACAAAGAACTGATTTAGGACTACTTGTTACATGACCTTTTTTTAACATTAATTTAATATATCAACTGAATTTTTAAAGCCACGCCCTTCGTAAAATGGCCTAAGGATATGTATATGAAAATTAAAACATTAATGCTAACATAAAATATAAGGCAGTAGCAGTATAAAATACACAGCAGGAAAGTCCTTGGAGATATGCTAACATAAAAATGGGCTCGTTATGCATGTAGATGTGTACTACCTCCTCATGATTTAATATAATTGGCATGGCAAATAATTATCACAAATATACTCATGGTGTCATTGTTTCAGAGTTTTAAACTGGTTTTCTTGTGGGCTGAATGAACGTTGTTGTCTTGTTCCAGTGCTAGTTTTGGATACTGTACTCAATCTTCAAAATCCAGTTAGGAGTCTTGTATGTCATCAGTTTAATCACTACTCTGATGATTCACTGAAAAGCTAACCTTAGTCATTCCTGTTATGCATTGCCATTGATAAGGCCTAAAATATTTTGAACTAGGAACAATAATAATCAGTTGGATCAAAATCTTTCCATCATGAGACTTAAGTTGCTTTCATATTGTGTATTTATTTGTTTATAGTCTGCATCTTGTCTGAAATGAGTTTCAAATCTTTTCTGATGAGTTTTTGCTTTTGGATTTTATTCTTAGGATAGTTATGCTCCAGATAGCACATTTACAGTCCCAAGAGTTTGTCCTGACAGTTCCGATTACTTACCTCTTGGACTACAAGATACAATTCTAGTGACAAGGAAATGATTGCAGTGTAATGGAGAAATATAGATTGCGCGTATATGTTTATTTATCTATAGCAAGCCTGGAAGGAGGCAAGTAATTTCATTTATTTTTATTTATTTATTTTTTTGAGACGGAGTCTCCCTCTGTTGCCCAGGCTGGAGTGCAGTGGCACAATCTCAGCTCACTGTAACCTCCACCTCCCAAGTTCAAGCAATTCTCCTGTCTCAGCCTCCCAAGTGGCTGGGACTACAGGCGCCCACTACCACGCCTGGCTAATTTTTGTATTTTTAGTAGAGACGGGGTTTCACTATATTTATTAGGCTGGTCTCGAACTCCTGACCTCAGGTTATCCACCTGCCTTGCCCCATAAAGTGCTGGGATTGCAGGCGTCAGCCTCTGTGGCTGGCCAGGAGGCAAGTAATTTCTTCAGAATCAAAGGCTAAAAAATGAATGAGTTACAGAAAAATTGAGTTTTGGGAAAGCCAGATGTTAACAGGCCATCCAGTTTCTCTAGAATTGCCAATTTTAGTGGATGTGTTTATAATTTTTTTCTTTTTTGGAGTTGTGGGGTGGTGGTACACACAGGGAAACAGAGATAAATATCACAGTTCTAGCACCTGGCTCATGTGGTTCATCTCTGTTGTCCATAGAGTGATGTTAGGACTTTTGCCCTGCCCTAGATTCCAAGAAGAACATCAAGCTAGAGAGTCCTTCAAGGGCCTCCCTGTGTCTTTTTTGTTGTTAGGCTCAGTTCATTAGTTAACATGTGATTTCCCTTGTTATTACTTCTATTTTTCTAATTAAAATCTGTGCTAAAAAATAGGGTACAGGCTAAAATAGTGAAAGTTCAAATATACCAGAATATTTACAAATTAGTCAAGCATAAGACAATACCACCAAAAATGTTATTAATAATTATTCTTAATTAGTTTGCAATATTTCAGAAGGCGCTGTTGCCTTGTCTATAATAACCCCATTATCTTCTGTTCATAGGAAAGGTTTTTTTTAGGAGCCTGCAGAAACATTCTCATATTCTTTTATTGATAAATAGGTACTGAATTCTCTTCTGTAGTTGCATAGACATTTGTGTAAGAGTGGATTGAGTAAAGAGGGTCATGACTATTCATCTGTTTCTAATACATTTCTGTAGACTCCTCTTCAGAGCAATCTCATGTACTTTTGACTTTTTATTCTCAGGCAACCAAAATTAGTTTTCAGATAGTCAGTGACCAGGGAAATAAATCTAGAGCTGGAGGGCACCAGTGGTCGCCTGTTTGTTTCCTTTCCTTCAGGCGGGTATGTCAGTAACCCTGCTAATCTAACTGGCTTTGTATTGCACTTTTAAGGATATTCAAGAATAGTGGTCCTCGGATCATTTCTTTAACATTCTTCTAATAAAGAATTATAATTTTAGTGGAGACTCTAAGTTATTCAATTTATTTTTTGTGGCATCTAAGTAGACTTGATTTTGTCTCCCCTTTTCTCTTTTGCCTGAGCTTGGCAAATGACTCAAAATCATCTTCAGACAGCTAATGACTGCTATCAGAGTGACCCAGTTGAAGTAACACTCTAAACTATGTCTCCTGTAATCAAAATCCTTTGATGATAGCGCATATATTTCCAACACCCATAACAGTGTTATTTAAACAGTATTATAGCTCATTAATGGGGCCTAAAAATGAATTGAGAGGCCTACTCATTTCCTAAATAGTCTAGAACTGATATGAAATAGAATAGAAAATATGAATATTTGAATAGTAAGATTCATTAATTTTCTTGAAAATTTTCATTCAATTGCAAATATATATATATATAAAATGCTCTCTCTTACACACACAAACACACACACACACACACTTGAGTCTTGAACAATACAGGATTGAACTGTACAGGTCCACTTATACATAGAGTTTCTTCTGCCTCTGCCACCCATGAGACAGCAAGATCAGCCCCTCCTCTTCCTTCTCTTCCTCAGCCTACTGAATGTGAAGTTGACAAGGATGAAACTGTTATGATGATTAATTTCCACCTAATGAAGTCAATGTATTTTCTTTATGATTTTCTAAATAACATTTTCTTTTGTCTAGCTTACTTTATTGTAAGAATGCAGTATATACTACATATAACACACAAAATATGTGTTATCAACTGCTTATTGTTATTAGTAAGGCTTCTGGTCAACAGTAGGCTACTGGTTGTTAAAATTTGGGGGTGCCAAAAGTTATGCACAGATTTTCAACTGAGAGTGTATGGGTACCCCAACCCCCACATTGTTCAAGGGCCAACTATACAGATGCATACACACACACACACACACACACACACACACACACACACGACAGACAGAGAGAGACTCAATGTCCCTTATCCAAAATGCTTGAACCGGAAGTGTTTCAGATTTCAGGGTTTTTTTGTTTGTGGAATATTTGCACTATTTGAGCATCCCAAATATGAAAATATAAAATATGAATGATGATTAGAGCCCAGCTCTAATGATGGCTGTGCATCGTGTCTTACTCCTGTAATCCCAGAATTTTGGGAGGCCAAGGTGGGCGAATCACTTGAGGACAGGAGTATGAGACCAGCATGGTCAACATCGTGAAACCCTGTCTCTAGTAAAACTGCAAAAAATTATCTGGATGTGGTGGTGCACACCTGTAGTCCCAGCTACTCAGGATGCTGAGGTAGGAGAATTGCTTGAATCCAGGAGGCGGAGGTTGCAGTGAGCTGAGATCGTGCCACTGCACTCCAGACTGGGCAATAGAGTGAGACTGTCTCAAAAAAAACAAAACAAAACAAAACAAAACAAAATGTTCTAATGAGTATTTCCTTGAGCATCATTCTGGTGTTCAAAAAATTTTGGATTTTGGAGCATTTCAAACTTCAAATTTTTGGATTTAGGGTGCTCAACCAGTTTGAGTGTACATATGTGTGTGTGTGTGTGTGTGTGTGATATTATCTATAATATGACGTATTATAAATAACATGTATAATAAAGATATATAAACTTTTATTATATAGAAGTAAAATACATGCTTAAAAAAGTATTTGTCACCAAGTAAAATATATTTTTTTCTGTGGGTCATGATCAGAAATATTTGAGATTTTCTGACCTGTAGAACAAAGTCAAAGTTCTTGGTGTGATACTAAGACTGCCATGATCTTCTCCTAGTTCACCTCTCCAGTGCCATCTCCTTGATTTTTATATTATCTCTTTACTGTACCAAACTGCCCAACACACAATGTAAGTTTGTTTTTTTGTTTTGCTTTGTTTCAACCTTTTTGATTTCAGTTATGCTATCCCCTATGCCAGGAATTCCATCCCCCGTCCTCCATCTACCTCATCCATATAATTTCTTTCTTTCTTTTTTTTTTTTTTTTTGAGATGGAAGCTTGCTCTGTTGCCCAGCCTGGAGTGCAGTGGCGCATTCTCCGCTCACTGCAACCTCCGCTCCTGGGTTCAAGCAATTCTCCTTCCTCAGCCTCCCGAGTAGCTGGGATTACAGGTGCCCACTACCATGACCAGCTAATTTTCGTATTTTTAGTAGAGATGGGGTTTCACTGTGTTGGCCAGACTGGTCTCGAACTCCTGACCTCGTAATCCGCCCTCCTTGGCCTCCCAAAGTGCTGGGATTACTAGCATGAGCCACTGGGCCCTGCCTACCTCATCCATATATTTTTTTATTTAACATTTTCACTTAGTGCAGAAATAAACTTACCCAAGAAACTTCCCTGAATTTATCTTTTTCCACTGGGGCAAGGTACCCATTGCTTGTTCTCATGGGCCACTTTACACAATAGCTACAATAGAGTGGTATAATTAAGAGTGGACACTTTTGGCCAAATTACCTACTTTTGAATACTGGATCTTTTACTGCTTTCTGTACGGCTTTCAGCAAGTGATTTAAGTTCTATGTGTCTGAGATTCCTAATTTGTGAAATGAAAATAATAGCTTCCACCCAACATTATGGTTAATTAAATGAGCTATTGTATGTTAGGCACACAGCCCAGAGTACTTGCTCAATATGAGCTATTATTATGTTACAGTGATACGTTTGCTTCTGCTTCTAATGAGCATTCCGTGTGTGAAAACTCATATTCTGTTTGAAGATGTTTCTGGCAAACAATATTTTCATCTACTTTTAACTGAATGCCTTAGAGTTTTTGAACGAGTGAACTGTTGGTGTTGGGGAGGAAAGAAAAGGATACAGCATTCTTTTTATAAGAATAAAGAAGTTGTAAATGGAAGACGAAATCACCATCAGCTGCCTTGAATTTCAAGCAAGAGTCTTGGATGGCTATTGAAGAGGCACTTGCAAGTTTTTCTTCTGGGGTTGCATTCATGTAAGTCCTGGGCTTGTCAACCACCTGGTCCAGAGGGCTTTTATAAAGTGTTGGTTGGCCTCTGGCCATGAAATTTCTATTATTCGGTCAACCTGCCAGTAAAAAACCTTATTTAGGCTCCAGAATCAGAAGATTCTGGCAACCTCAAAAATGTTCCAATTGATTCGTTATCAACAAAAGAAAATGTAAGATGAAAAAAACTAAGTTCTGTTAATTCTATTCCTTCTCTAGTAAATATACTTCCTAATAGCTTTTCTCACTCAAATTTCCACTCTTCTCTCTACATTTATGTGACGTCAAATGAACCGTGATTTTTAAATATAAAGGCCAAATTGTGTTGCTTCCCAAGTTTCAGCCAAGGTAAAGTATAATGCTATCTTCAGTATGGTTTATTTCCAACTTTGTGTCTGTAATTCCCCCAAGTTAGTGTAAAATGTAGGTAAATTATTGCTAAAATATGCTACTGTGCCAGGTGAAGTTGGCTTAAGGGTTAAAACTATTAATTTTCCACAGTCCAGTATTTGCAATGCATGCTTGTAATGTTTGCCATGTCTCTCTCAGTCCATCATGAACATCCCTGGGTCACTGCCTGCCATCACCAGACTGTTTGTACATGGTCCTGAGGCAGAGACACATCCTTCTTATTAAGAGGAAGATTTAATTTGCATTCAAACAAGATATTGCTGCATTGCAAACAGAGGAATTGAAAAAAAAAACCTTTGGAAAAATGCAAACCTTGAAATAAAAGCATTGTTCTGTAACATTTTTATTTCAGAGCAAATATGCATGGATATTTTACTTCAGAGATCTCTAAAATCCAGTCCTTCTAGTGGAGAAATAAACTGAACTCATGGTTGTCTTTCTTCAGAAGTCTACTATGCATGTAATCCTGGACCATAGCTCAGAGGCCATAAATTAGAATTACCTGGGAGCTCTTGAAATTATCACAATAAACAAACTGAACTCCAGACCAATTAGTTCAGAATTTTTAAAGGCATAGAAACTAGGCATCAAAATTTGTTAAAGGTCCCTAGTTAACTCTAGTGTACAGTTAACTTTGAGAACAATTATTTTGGAAATACTTAGTGGAAAAGAGTTGTAAATCCAGGTATTTATAAATTAGCTCTTTGATAATACTTGTTCTTTTTCCTCATGAATTGGGGAACAATTGATAATCAGGTTGTTTTTTTTTTTTAACAGTTTCTCCTTAGGAAAAGGCATTTTTAAATTCTCACTGGAGCTTATCCTTGCACTGGTTGCCAATAGCACCAGATGCCAGTATGGTAGCTGTTTTCTTAAAATATTCTAGTATCTAAACATGTGTTTTAAAATTAACAGGCGGGGGGGAGGCAGGACAAGATGAAATGGCCTTTACTTTTTGCCTTCATGTTGAGCGAGAGGATTTCCTCCAACGAAGGATAATTAAATTCCTAGGAGAGTGTTCTTCGATCTTATTCCCTAGAGATATACTAAAATAAAAGGAATTCTATTTTTGGCAGGGAATGATGACATATTATAATGCATAAGGGGTGAGGCAGGGGAGCAGATTTGATTATCTCTGTAGTTTTCTTTTAGTTCCTCATCAGTGTTCTTTTACTTTAGTCATTAGTACTCGGTGTTGAGACTTAACATGAACCCCACTTTTCCATAAAGCCATCCCAAACTGCCCATTTTTACAAATATTTTGAGAATTCTCTCCTTAACATAAAAATTATCATTTCATTGTATGTAATCTACATGCCATCAGCCTATGAGTAAACCATGGAAGTTTTTGGCCAAATTATATTGGTGCCGAGCCTCCATCCTACTTGACTACAGGTTTTGCTAAACTCTACCACTCTACCCTCAACAAATGTTTTAAACATCACCAGGGGTGCTTATTCATGTCTTCCAATTAATCCTAGTTGTGATTAGCCTCTGAGATTTTTTTTCAGATTCTAATAAGGATTCAAAATTCTTCAGAAGAATTTTCAGACAAGACCTCACATGAAATGTTCTCAGATATTATATATTAATTGCTTCATGAACATTCAATCAATGGCTTTCATTTAATAAATAGTATGCATTTAATAAATAGGTTTTAGCATCTGTATCAGTTTTCAATCACTAAATAATAGATTACTACAAAGTTAGTAGCCAAAAAACACATATATTTTTTTAGCTTACATTTCTGTAGATCACATGTCTGTGGGAGCTCAACTTGCTTCTCTGCTTAGGGTCTCAAGAAGGCTAATATTAAGGAGCCAGTTGACTGGGCTCTTTATCTTGAGGATTTGAAGATGAAACTGCTTCCAAGCTTCTTCAGAATGTTACCAGTATTCAGTTCTGTGAGGCTGTAGGACTGAGGTCCCAGTTTCTTGCTGGTTGTCAGCTGGAGGGCATTCTTAGTGGCTTTTCCATTCTTGAACACACACACACACACAAACACACACACACACACACACACACACACACACACACACACACACATACGTTGAGTACTCCTATCCAAAATGCCTAGGACCAGAAATGTTTCAGATTTTGGATTTTCTTCAGATTTTGAAATATTTGCATTGCACTTACCAAGTTGAGCATCCCAAATCTGAAAATCCAAAATCCAAAATGTTTCAATGAGCATTTCTTTTGAGTGTCATATTGGCTGCAAAGTTTCAGATTATGGAGCATTTTGGATTTCAAATTTTTAGATTTGGCTTGCTCAGCCTGTATCATTGGTGAGATATATTGTCATATTTACAGGTTACACACACACTCAAAGGGAAGAGAATTATACAAAGATAAGGGTCATTGCAAATCATTCTTAGATTATGCTAAATATAGCACACCTGGAGAATACACAAGACATAAAGTAGTACAAGACTCCAGCTGTCCTAAGAATATATATAATATAGTAAGATAATATGAGCAAGCAGTGAAGTTGAATGTAATATATAGGTTAAGTAATAATATCATTGTTTGCATAGTGTAATCATTTGACATCATTTCTAAAAGTATTGTCCGATTTGTTCATCATAAAAGCCCTGTGAGGTAGAGCACATTGTTCTCATTTTGCAGAGGAGGAAAGTAAGGCTCAGAGACCTTAAATGAGTTGACAGTGCTGGCTGGGCGCGGTGGGTGGCTCACGCCTGTAATCCCAGCACTTCGGGAGGCTGAGGTGGGTGTATCACCTGAGGTCAGGAGTTGGAGACCAGCCTGGCCAACATGCTGAAACCTCGTTTCTACTAAAAATACAAAAGTTAGCCAGACGTGGTGGTGCATACCTATAATCCCACCTAGTCGGGAGGCTGAGGCAAGAGAATCGCTTGAACTCGGCAGGCGGAGGTTGCGGTGAGCTGAGATTGCGCCACTGCACTCCAGCCTGGGTGACAGAGTGAGACTGTGTCTAAAGAAAAAGAAAAAAAAATAGTGCTGAGGCTTCATCCAGAAATATATGATGTCAAAGTGTGTAAACACAACATGCTGTTGCTCCTGCTACCGTACTTTCTATAAGCAGCTAATGTCCCTCACTCCTCCATGAGGATCCGTTAATATGACTGTTATCTAGACCACCTTGTCGTTCTTCTTCCACCTTCTACTTCATACTTCTCCACATGAAGCTCAGTTACCCACTGAGGTCAGTTACCCATTGAGGTCTTCTTCAGCAACCTCAGGGGGTTGTGAGGATCAGAGAGGGCTTTTCTCCTTGGCTTTTTAGGTTCTTTCACCCTAGGATAGATTGTTTGGAGAGTCTCTTGCTTTCAGAAACCTCCAGGTGAGGAGTAGACACCTCTCTCTCCTCATGTATAGCCTCAAGCCACAGGGATCATGTATTAAATTGAGTTAAAAGTTCTTTGCTTCACTCCACTGACAGTAAGTACAGAGCCCTGGAAGTGACATGCCAGTGTCCCTGTCTTTATTTATTTTGGAGTTCAATCGCACTTAAATTGGGTGTTTTGACGGAGAACGGAGAACACAACCTCTGTATTCTCCATTAAGAATGCGTTGTCTCTTTCTCTTTTCTGATCCTCAGATCACCTTATGTAGATTAGAAAGTGTGTTAGGGAAGGAGGATTAGGCGGTGGGGGTTGCTATTGATCATAGCTCTGGAAAGAGGATCTGGCCCCATATTCTTTAGAATGTGAAGTATTTATTTCTTCTTGGTCCTAATAGTTATGTTCAAGCTGCCAAAGCAAATGCAACAGGAAAAGTCACATTTGACAATGTGACACTTCAGTTCAATTCTGGCTGCACTGTGTGTACTCAATAATTGCCAATTAAAAATGACTATCAAGGATTATGCTATCATTTTAGATAACTTTTTAATGAAAAGAGAAAAGCATGACCTCCCATATTTCTTATGGTCTTCTCTGCCTTCTAATTACCACCAAATTCCATCTCAAACTTTGTGTATCTTATGCAAAAGAGAAAATATCGTGATCACAGAATAAATTCCTCCAGGTTGTGTCAAACTAAATCATTTTAACTTGGGGAGCAGAGAGTGTCTTTGCCGTCTCTGTACTGAAACAGTTTCTCTCATTGTGCCAGGTGGCTCTCATTTGTTTAAATTCTTAGCTGGAATGTATTTAAATGTATCTAATTTATTAGATGTAATTACAATAAATGTCAATGTAATTAAATGATATGACAGGATATTGGTCATAATGGAATTAATCTTAATACTACATAAATCACAAGTTACTAAACAATGTGAAATTGGTCTGATGTAAATTTCAATACTGAAATACAATGTAAATCAGTATGGCCTAACAAAGGGAAGGGAAAACCATAGGGTTTGAGAGGATGGATTTGGTTTCCAAAGAAGCAAGTAATGATTTCTCCTTCAAGCTCTGTGTACTTAGCTCAAAGTGGTAGTTGCAATAAGATAAAGTATAGATGTCTCCTCATTGCCATCTTGCTTATGAACTTGGTTCAGCCCTGAAAATCCATATGGCATCATGTGTTTGTACAGTATTGGTAATTCACTTTCCTAAATTAATTACTTCAAGAGTAGATCAAAACGTGTATATGTTAACACACGTCAAGAAAAAGTAAATGCTTACTGGACTTTTAAACATTCAGAATAAGGACCAATTTCTATTTTTGTGAGGTTTGATCAGGCAAGAGAACTTTAGAGGAGTGCTTACCAACAAAAGCAAAAGGCAGTTGTCAATCCTTAACTGTAAAAACCATATAAGACATTTTCTTAGCTAAGACCTAAAACAGATTGTGACACTTAGGCAGAAGCACATTGGCCAAGAAGGCTCAAAATAGAAACTGTGTTAGCAAAAGTAAAGAAAGCCTTGATAACCTTTAAATTGATTATCAAGTAGATCTGTCTGTTTTCCCTCTACTCTTACAAGTTGCAGAGGCCAATGGTTTGGATGGGAAAACTCAGTTGTTTTGCGCGGGTAATTTAATAGAAGAAAGTTTGATTCTAGTCTTGAGTGGATTTGATGGTTAATGATTGATTGCCATTGAAGCAGTTACCTTCAACCGTGTATCATTGGACGTCTGCTAGGCTAAAGAAGCATTTGGAAATTCATGTTAGTTTCAAAATTACTTAAGATACTACATTTAGTATTGTTTTATATATATATATATATATATACATTTTGGATTGATAGATCTATAACTGTTATATATAGTTGAAATTATTTTTGCTCAGTATTTAAGGTAAACATGTCTAATTTTCAACTCAAATTAATATTTAAGATAAAAATTGATAAATGTTTTAAATTTGTCTTACAAGAATATCTCCAGAGACTTTGGAAAACAAGCAAAGTAGAACACAAATAATGAAGAAGAATGTTGCATACAAATAGTAAAAGCAGTTATAGTAAGTTGTGTAATTAGTAGTTGACATTTTTAACAAGAGAGAGTATATGATTCTTGAATTTTAAAAATTTTATACAAAGTAAAAATATTTCAAAGATAATTTATTTGGAAAATGAAACATTTGTAATAATGCTGTAAAGTATATTTTTACAAATAATATCTGATTAAGGTTTGTCAATACCATGAGGTTAGGCAGAATAGTATTAATTGCTACTGGATTAATTTTTGCAAATTATTTTTTATAAAAATGTTCTTGTGAAATACAAAATGTCTATATTCCATTGTGTGTGTGTGTAATATACATTTGAAATCATGTTTAGTCTTTTTTATGGAGTGAATTTGGTGCCCTTTTTATTATTTCATACTTTTATGGTTTTATCTTAATCTTCTGGTTCCATTTCTGCCACAAAGTTTATTTCATAGTGCACTGTTGCTATTGATTTTCTTTTCTATTTCTTTTTAAGAGTAATTCTGAAGGAGTTGCTGTGTAAACATCACAGGAAATAGAAGCAATTACTCTGTTTTAAGGCAAAATTTTACCCTGACAATGTTTATAGGCAGAGTTTTACATTTAGGAGATTGCAGACTTGATATAAGGTCCATGAAGAGTTTTAATAAATTCATTTTCCTAGTTTGAGTTGCTTGCCAAAGAAAGCAATATTATTTGATACTAGTGCCAGTAATGATGTTTTTTCCTTAACACTATATAAAACGCCTAGTTCTTATTTAGTTTATTGTCCTGAATGATAGATCAGTTTCATGAAACCAAAACATAGAAATCAGTTTGGATAAGGAGCAATTTGGGCATAACTTTGGTTAAGTTAACCAATTTGCTGCTGAGTTGTGTAAAAAAGTTGATCTCTTTAACACAGGCTAATTACTGGTAATTTTCATATCAAGTGGTTGGATTAAGTCATTCTCTTACTTGTTTTTGAGATACTCTTTCGCTACAATGACTTCAAACATTTTTCTTGTTGTTGTCCCTGAACTCTTTTGTGTCATAAATTCAATTAGCAGAGTGTTTTGCAAAAGAAAATTCCAAAACTTCGTCATCCCCTCCCTTCTTTCCTTTCCTTCCTGCCTGCCTGCCTTCCTGCCTTCATTCCTCCCACAAATTTTACTGAGCAACTTCAACATGGCTGGCACTAAACAGAGTTAAAAAATAAGCAAGATTCTTCCTTTGAGGAATATATTATCTACTGGGAAGATCAACAGATAATAATATTATGCAACAGTGAATATAACATACTGCTGACTGTCAGTGCAGATAAATCAAAATTATTATGGACTTTCCAGATGCGGTAACACTTTGTGGAACATTGCAACAAGTTTCACCAAAAGGGAACTATCTGTGTCTGAAAAGAATAGTAGTTCTCCTGTCAAAATTCTCCCAGTCTGCTTTAGCTGTTAGTAAGATCATCTTAACAGGAGTAAGGATGCCCCTTACCCAAGAAGTATACTCAGTGACAGTCAGCCTGACATCCTCAACATTTTTAACCCATGTCTTGAATCTGTTCATTAAATTAAGTCGCTGGAAATACTGGGCTGCTTTTTGGAGAAGCATGTGTTAGTTTGGAGCCAAATGATTTGAATTCTAGTCCAGATTTTGCCAGGAATGGGTTGTTACCTTATTTTCCTCATAATGGAAATTCAGTTAAAATCCCTGCTCTACCTGTTTTATAAGACCATTTTGAAAATGAAGTAATATAATAGATAAAAGTATTCTTTGTAAGGTTAAATGCATTATGCAGATGGGTGTTGGGTGGTGGTGATATTAGCTGTAAAGTACCATTGAAGTACTACAAACAGTCTTGGCAGTTTTGACAGATTATGGCAGATTATATTTCTAGAATAGACACTATAAATTGAAAACAGAAATATCAAATATAATTGTTCCCCTAAAATGCTGTTACAGTGGAGATCACATTTCTGACCAATAGCCTAATGTCTCAAATTATGGAGATAATCATACACACCATATATAATCAAATATTAAGCCAACTTTTCATAGGATGCTACTATTCCTTGTAAAGGTTTCTAAAAAAAAGATATGTATAATTTTTAAAAGCCCAGGAAATAATCTCACACTGTTGTGTTTAGTATTAAACAGTAAACATTATAGAATTTTTTTCTTTGTTAAAACTGCTGACTTATTTTATTGCAACAAATGAACACTACCGAAAAGATTACAAACCTGACCGAGGGCTTTCTGGATAGTGTTTGACAAGCACCACTAAGAATACTTTGGGAAGTCCTTAATCCACTTGAGTCTTTTTTTGAGCAATCTTTAAGGTATATTTAGGTGTGTTTACCTACTCACATTTTCTTATTATAAATTTTTCTGTAACAGATTACTGACCTGTCATTTTTGTAACAGAAAGCCATTTTTTTTTTTGGAGACGAAATTTCGCTCTTGTTGCCCAGACTGGAGTGCAATGGCGCAATCTCAGCTCACTGCAACTTCCACCTCCTGGGTTCAAGCAATTTTCCTGCCTCAGCCTCCTGAGTAGCTGGGATTACAGGCATGCATCACCATGCCCAGCTAATTTTTGTATTTTTAGTAGAGACGGGTTTTCACCATGTTGGTCAGGCTGGTTTCGAACTCCTGACCTAAGGTGATCTGCCCACCTCGACCTCCCAAAGTGCTGGGATTACAGACGTTAGCAACTGCGTCTGGCCCAGAAAGCCTTTTTTTAAGTTGTCATTTCATCAATACTAGCAGTTGTACCTTACCTGATAGAAGAAAAAATCATATATCCTTGATTACACTCAATTTTGCATCCTTTGATCCCTCACTATGTACTAGTTCTTGATGTCAAAAAGCCATGAAGGTTTGGCCCGAATTGTAGCTAAATCACAGGTTATTTATTCTGAATTTGATGCAGAATCTTCAAGTCCCAAGCCCTGCATACTTCCTCACATATCATATTTTAATGGTCACAAAAACAATGTTGTTTATCTTTGTAAACATTTAGAATATATGGGCTATAAAATAAAGAGGACAGTTTTTTCACAAACACAAAGTCTTGGACGTTGAATAATTTTTTTTTCTTCCACAGCATAATTATGTGATTCAAAATATTTTTGGAATTGTCTCCAGTATTATTAAATAATAACTTGTCCCAAGTTAACTTTTTTGTTGTTATTCCATATCATTGGAACATCCTTCCTTCTCCCAAGACATTTTTCCTATTTCTTTGCCTCTTTTGCATCTCTCCTTTCACAGCCCTTTCTATGCAGACAGAGAACACCAATGAAAGACAAGGTTGCATCTTTGAATAGTGTCTTCAACTACCAATGGCTTGGCAATGCTTATTATAAGAATACACTTTATTTATTTCACTTGAGCTTCTCATGCTAGCAGTTTTAGCCTTAATGACATAAGCATGCTTATTTCTAAGAATTAGCTGTACTTTTTATTGCACCCAATCAATTTGTATTGATTGCAATACAAATTGAATTATTGAAATAGGTTTCTATTTTCAGAGGAGATTTAGTTTTGTGGGGAGCAAAAAATACTTGCAGTTCTTCCAATGATAGAACAGTAAATTGGTATAGTTTATAATCCTCCAAATAACTAAGATCTAAAGATTATCTTTGTAAAATTCCATTCTGAGCAATATGCTTTGAAACTTCAAAATAATTCACCAAAGATTGAAAACAGAATGTTTGTCTTTGTTGGTTTTGAGGCTACTTTTGAGCATCTGTTGGTTATATGATTGTAAAATTCTGTAAACACATCAAGGAGCAACTGATCAGTTCCAGGACTGTGATCTTATCAAATCTGGCCCTCTTGCTATTTCAGCAAAAGTATATAGAATATTGGTTTAACTTTAAAACAACAACAACAACAACAACAACAAAGAGACTTTCATTCCTGGAAGCAGCATTTTCTATCTCTCTGATCATCATTGGCAACTGTTCATTTTCTGCTTGAGTGAACTTAGGGGAAAGCAGTTACCTTGCGTGTGATGAATGGTAGGTGATCCTTGGATGTCCCTATCTTACGCGTTTTTTGTCGTATCCTGACAGGAAAGGTTCACTATCTATATGGACTCCTAATAATATTGTAGAATCAATTATTGCTTTCCAAATGTCAAAAATGTCTATCTTTTAATAAACAGGGTAGCCAATATGTGGTGGAGAAGAAATTATTAACTTTTTCTTTCTAAAGGAGACCAATGTCTTCACCAGTTTTGCACTTATTAAAAACAATATTCCACTGGTGATGCCATAAATGCTATCATGCAACAAGATACAGCTGCATTTGAAACAAAGCAATGGCTTAACACTCAGCTTCCTGGTTTCTGAAGATAATGTTTTTTTTCCTTCACAAAGAACTTTAGTTTTTAATTGTATTCATCAATTAGACATTTCAAAGAAAACCAGTTGCTTTGTAAGAAAAATCAAGATTAGGACATTAACATTGGGATAACAATGTCCAGAACCCTTTTTTTCCTTTTCCAGTTGTGTTAGACATCACTCTGTTCCAACATAGTTTAATTTCTCTTGGTGTTTTATGAAGTAAATGCTTGTAAGAAAATGTACTGTCTATGAATGTCAGCAAATAGTGATGATTGTCTTAACTAAGGTATGTTACCTTAGTTAAATTATGTTAAATGGATTGAAGCTGGAGAATATTTTGATGGGCATTTTGTACTACTTTTGCATCCTGTGGGCTCTGATGAACGCTCCACAGACTTATAGAAAGACAAATCTATCAATGATGTGGATTCTATTTAAGCTTTTAGAAATTATGGATCAGATGTGGTGGAAAATGGATAGATTCTTGTGACCCTTTAATTCCTTCCTCTAATTTGACTCCCCCTACACACACACACACACACACACACACACACACACACACACACACTCAACTTCTTATAAATATTCCTGAAGGATCTTTCTCCAGCAGCTTCATTTCTTTTTTTTTATAATTGCCCTCCTTGTTTCTCTCCCCTACTAGCTACTCCCAAGGTTTCATCTATCCACTCTCGGGGGATTACTCCTAAATCCATATCCCCAGCTCTAATCCCAGTCATGAAATGGCCCCTCAATACCTCAAATTCAATGTGTTCAGAAGATCATCCTACCAAGCAACACATTCACTTTACTTGACAATAGAGTGTTTTCCTTGGAAATCCAGAGTGCCACTTTAAAAGAGATCTTTAAACTTTTCTCACTACAGACTGCCCAACGCTGGTGGACTTTATTTGCATTGTTTCTTCCTCTCCATTCTTACTGCCTCCATTTCTGCTGCTGGACAACATTTCGTCTATCTTACTAGCCTTTCCCCTGCTTCACCTTCCCTATGGCCAAATCTGTCATGTTCGTACCTTGAAACAAATATTCTTAAAAACACAGCTCAGGGCATTTATTCAGCATCTGCCTCTGAGTGTGTAAGTCCTATATTATGTGAAAGTCTTGTAATAAGAATTGGTCACATTCTGCCCTCAAGTAGCATAATGTTGGCTCATGAATAAAATACGTATTCCTGGAATAATATGTAATGTGTATATTGCATACATAATTTCATATGTAAATATTATAAACGCCTATGCTTATCTTTTTTATATTCTGTCTTTACATATATAACTTTCTGTGCCTGAATGACTGGTGAAAACGCTTAAAGTTAAGACGCAGATACAATGCCAACTACTCTTAGAGAGAAGTCCAAATGATCTCAACTTGAATTTTGTTTGGGAATGCATGCATATCTTACCTCCACTGTTAAATGTCAGTAGCCTTAGAGACAGAGCCCATATCTTATTCACCACAATATCCATTCATATTGCAAAACAGAAGGCATTTTATGTAGTGATTAAGCACATAGGCTTTAATGCCTGCCCCACCTGTGTACCTCTATGTGTCTTTGAATTGGCTACTTAATAACACCTACTTAAGAAGATGGTTAAATGGTTTAACTAAGATAATACATACAAAGCACTTAGTACAGCCCCAGGGACATAATAGACTTTCAATGAAAATATTAGTTGTTATTGTTCTTTTAGCATTTGTGTGGTACATAAGAGACAACCAAAAGGACATTTTCTTATAGCACTTTAGTGGTTTGTGAATCGCATATATGCTTTACATGTTGCAGGTAATTCAAACCAATAGCAGTACTGTGGTTGTTGTTAAGAGTTTACTTGCAACTGACTTGAAAGGGGATGTTTTAGGAAAAGGGTAGGATTTGATAGTTATCTTACATACTCATATAATTTCCTTTCAATGAAGGAACTAGATAAGGATTAAAACATGGCGTGTGAAACTTTACATTGTATTGGTTTATTTTTTTCTTTTTTCACTGAATTGTGCTATTATTTGGTTGTCTGCTTTTCTCCTTAATGTTATTTTAACAACTTTTTAATAAACTTACATTATTGCTTTATAGTTATAAAATGTGTCCACATTCATGCACATGTTTGAACATTGAGGTAACCCGTAAGATAAAAGGCAAGGAACCATTTACGTAATTTTTTATAGGTGGACAAAAAATAAAGTAAGAAAAGTCAAACAATGATTACCCAAAGTCTTTAACCACTAAATGGTAAAACCTAACCTAAAACACAGGCACGCTAGTGCTGAGACCTTTGCCCTTTCTCATACACTGTATTACTTGCTATCCTACTTATTTAATGGGGCCTCTAAAAAGACTTAGCCCTTGGTTTTACTACCTAGAGAGAGATCCCTTTACTCTGTATTTTCAGGGTATCTTCACATTCATTTTACATTATATGACTGTTAATTTTTTTACTTTAACTTTAGAAATAACCTTTATTCCTTTTTTATTCCAAAAGTAATATGTATTTATTGTAGGAACTTTATAGAATACAAAGAGAAGCAAAGAACAAAGTAAAATAATTTATAATCTCACCATCCAGAGATAAATGCTAAAAACATATTGATATATATATAATTCTAGATGTATTTATTTGCATGTGAATTAACTTAGATTTTTAAGTTAACAAATTTGTCAACTTAAATATGCAAATAAATTTCTACTTTTTTAAGAACATTCTACTTTTTGTACAAATTTACAAATGTCTACTTTTTTTTAAACAGTAGAAATGTGTGTACTGTCTCATAGTTTTTTGCTCAGTCTACTGTGAAAACTTTGGCCATCATTTTTATTAGTTGCATATAGTTTATATGAATACACCATACTTATTTTATGCATCTCTTACTTATAGGCAGAGGTTTCCGTTTTTCACTGTTATAAGGAAAAAGGTGGCTAACATCTTTTTAGATAAAATATTCTACATATGCATCATGTATTTATTAAAATAAATGTCAGGGTGGAAAAAAACAGGATCAAAAATACTATCCAATCTTAAAGCTTTAAACTTGTATTGTTTTTTATTCTAGAGAAGGATCTTACCAAATTATATAACAATTTGTACTCTTAGAAGGAGCATATGAGAATAACCTTTGAACTTCATGTATACATTTGTCAGCATTGTAATTAAATTATCATAATTCGTCCCTCCTTTCTTCTTTTTTTTTTTCTTAATTGTTCTTGGGTAGCAGATTTTGTATTTTAGGGATAGGGAAGTGTATATGTATGCCTGAGGGCCCCAAGCAAAATAATAAATGAATGTACCCCAAAATAGTTCCTTATTGGTCATTACCCACACTACTCTATAGACTTGGGGATGCTAGAGATATTTTCCCTGAATACTTCACTTACTAACAAAAATAACCTGGGATATATTAAGAAAGGAATTACATTTTCAACTGGATAGTATTTTAGTGTCTTCTTTCCATAATAAAAGAATCTGTGGAAAGATGTAAAAAACTTGAATCGCATTACTGGGGCAGTAAAAATTACCTCACGGAGTAATCAACTTAAATAGGAAAACAGGTTTAAAAAATAGATATAATTTTGGTAATTAGAGTTATTTTACAGCTTTGATGAAATTCCACTATAGATACAATTTTGAATGATTTTATACTTTTATTCAATTTTTTCATTTTAAGTTAAGGTTGTTTAATATAATCTATTGGGCAACAGTGATCTTAATAATTTTAATACATTAAAATGCTTACATTTAAATGCTTTTTTTTCTTAATGCTTATTAGAGGTATACTCTTTGATCTCAAACAATGAAATTTTAATTTGTATTCAAAATCCTCCTTGGTCTTTATTTTCCATGACTTTCTTTTGAAAAATTCTTCATAAAAGTTTTTGCAAAACATCCAGGCAAATTATATCTGCAGAATACCTTTTTGTTCTGCTTTATTAATTCTTTATGGATCATAGATGTATTGTTCTTCCTTTGTCTGACTTGTATGTTTTTAACTATAGGAGCCTTTCTTTATTGAAGTACTATAATATTCTGTGGCTAATTATATTCTCACATCACTCACAGTTGACCTCTGATCTTTAGAACTGTCCTTTTTTTAACAATAGATGGTCAATTCCATTTGTTTTTACCGGATAGAAAGCTGTCTAAGGTTTTCTATTTATCTCATTGTATCTTATAAAATTCATAGATATTATACATCCTTGATTATTTACAATTCCCATGCTTCTTAATTTTTTCCACACTGTTTTTTTTGTTTAATTTTAATAGGTTTTTAGGGAGCAGGTGGTATTTGGTTACATGAATAAGTTCTTAATAATGATTTAGTGATGATTTCTGAGATTTTGGTGCACTCATCACCCGAGCAGTATACATTGTACTCAATGCGTAGTCTTTTTTTTATTCAGATCTTTATCTGAAGAAACTATATGTAGATTAGGATAAAAAATAATCTTCAAAGAGGAGTCTGGGAAGATCTAAAAAAAGGAAGCACCAGGAATCTGTCTTTTTATATAGACAATAATTGCACTGATACAATCTGTCTGAAGTAACTATTTTTAATCTCTGGAGTCTATTAAAGGTGTATAACTTCTAAGGGAAGACTTGGATGATAAATTATGGTTAATTTTAGTCAGTTTTAGTTTAGCAGCAACTATCTATCTTCTCTACTCCCCATACTGTGTTAGGCTTGCATGCAGCTTGTAGAAGCCATGATGGACAAATAAGACTCAAAGTGTCAAATACCAGAGACCTGTGTTTTGATTTCTGACTACTGTCTCTGACCATGTAGGTGCAGATACAGAGGTGGGGACTCATCATTTCACCCTCTCCTCATTGTTGCAAACCCTTCTTCCCTCCAGCTAAGAGGAGGATTTAAAGGCCTGGTAACTTTCCCACACACACTTTATTTTTCTTCTTTTCTTTTCTTCTTTCTTTTTTTGGAGCCAGAAAATAAAGATTTAGACATTCAAAAGCAACTGCATATGCAGAGGAAATTAGAAAGTCGGTGTGCATACTCAGGGAAAGGCATGAGCCCAGAATAAACTTGAGAAGACCTCAAATTTATAGCTCAGGCTGATCCCTGGCTCAAAGACAGCCTGCAACAATCAGAAGAACCCAAAAGAACAAAAATGAAAAGTCAAACCAAAAAACAGCAATCCTTAGGAAGGGAGGTAATCTGATTTCCAGAGTTGCCATATCATTAAATTCAAATGTCCATTTTTCAACAAAAAAAAAATTACATATAAAGAATTGGGAAAAAGTATGACTCATTTAAAGGAAAAAAAAATAGAAACTGTGCCAGAGAAAAACCAGATGGCAAACTTACTAGACAAAGACTTTAAAACAATTGTCTTAAAAATGCTCTAAGAATAAAGGAAGAAATTAAGAAAAAAACTATGAATGAACAAAATGGAAATAGCAACAAAGACGTAGAAAATCTTAAAAATTGCAAACAAGTTCTAGAGCTGAAAAATAAAATAACTAACATGAAAAATTTACTAGAGGGAATAAAATACAGAACTGAGCAGACAGGAGGAAGAACTACTGAGCTTGAAGATAGGTCAAGATTTTTACCTATTGAAATTACTGAGTCTGAGGAACAGAAAGTAAAAAATGATTGGAGAAAAGTAAATAGTGCCTAAGGAACCTATAGAACACCATCAAACAAATGAACACACACATTTTGGAAGTCTCAGAGGGAGAAGAGAAGGAGAAAGGGACAGAGATTATTTGAAAAAAATAATACCTGAAAATTTCCCAAGTTCAATGAAAACATAAATATAAAACTCCAAGAAATTCAAAACATGTAAAGTAGGATGAATTCAAAGGGAAACCACTGAGTCATATTAGAATCAAACCGTCAAAAGACAAAGAGAGGATCTTAAAAGTAGTGAGAGAGAAGCAAGTCATTCATACATGTCATCCTTAATAAGATTAGCTAAGATTTCTCTTCAGAAACTTTGAAGGCCAGAAGGCAATGGGCTGATATATTCAAAGTGCCAAAATAAAAAAATAAAGCAAAACAAAACTGTGAACCAAGAATCCTATATCTGGCAAAACTGTTCTTTGAAAGTGAAGGAGAAATTAAGATATTCCCAGATAAATAAAAGCTGCGGGAAACATAGTGTAAGTAGGGTTTGTTACTATGCCTTATTTCAGGTGTGCACTGGGGGCCTTGGAACATATTCCCTGTGGTTAAGGAGGGACTACTGTATACATACAATGGAACATTATTCAGCCTTTAAAAGGAAAGAAATTCTGACATATGCAGGGTTCATGGATGAACCTTGAGAACATTGTCATAAGTAAAATAATCTAGTCATGAAAAGACAAATACTGTATGATTCTACTTATATAATGTACCTAGAGTAGTGAAAATTATAGAAACAGAAGGTAGAATGATGATTGCCAGAGGCTGGAGAGAGAGGAAATGGGTAGTTATTGTTTAGTGGGAATAGAGTTTTGCCAGATAGAAAGAGTTATTGAGATGCATGGTGGTGACCGTTGTACAACAATATGAGTGCACTTAGTACCACTGAACTGTATACTTAAAATGGTTAAGACAGTATATTTTATGTTATGTATATTATACCACAATAAGAAAAAATTAAAAATGAAATATTGAACTATATTTACATTTACAGCATGCTGCTTCTATTGGTGTTAATTTTAATTCCTAAAGATTATTATTGGTAATCATTTTCTCTAGCTGCTTAAAATCTGTAGAATTGCTCATACTCTTTATTTCTATTTTTGTTTGCTTTATTTGCCTATTTTACAGCTGCATTGAAGTATAGTTTTCATACCATAAAACTCACTAATTTTTAAAGTATACAGTTATCTAATTTTTAGTAAACTTACTAAGTAATTGCAACCATTGCCACAATCCAACTTTAGAATGTATCCATCAGGCAAAAAGAAACCTCATACCCATTTTTAGTCATTCTCAGTTCCCACACCCAGTCCCAGGCAGCCACTAATCTACTTTCTGTTTCTATCCCATATTATTTATTGATTTTTTTTTATTTGCTTGTTTTAAAGCTTTGGAGCTTTTGGTACTAGTTTACAATTGTTTCTTTCCCTATAAATACATTAGAAACTAGAAGCCTGAGGCCTAACCTCCCCTGTTTCCCTCATATTAAACACTCTATGAAAATCTAGTAGGGTGATTAGAGAAGAAACATGGGGAAATAAGAATGCTATACTGGTGCATACTGATATCCTATTTTAAACTTCTGTCACTTTCATTGATTTTTTTTTGAAGAGTCTGAAATGTAACTGTCTTTGACAGTGTGTTTTAGTGTGCACTATTAATGAATATGATTAGAATTGTTTGGTTTGTAACTGTCAGAAAGGCAGCCTGAAGTATTTAAGCAAAGGGGGAGATTTATTGGCTCCCAGAATGGAAAGAAACCTTAAATAACAAAGCTGAGGAAAGAAGAGTGGTGAAGTCCAGCCCTCGGGATTCAGGCACTGTCAGAAATCAATCTGGTTTTCCTCTTTGCCTCTCTCAGCTTGTCAGCTTCATTTGGTTTCACTGCAGACTAGGCTTTTCCTTGAGGTGAAAAACTTAGTTTCTGAGAACTCTTAAGTTTTATTGCATAAATCTTTAGCCCCTGTGGGAAACAAATCTGAGTTTTTTGAAGATACCATCTAAAATCCAAATATCCCAGGATAAAGATGGGAATAGACACTTGGCTCTAGATGCAGTGGGCTAAGTGAGGTACCCACTCCTGGACCAATCAAATGTGTTCAGGGAGGTAAGGTACTGTGTTTGGCCCAGTTTGAGCCTACTCCTCAATCTACCAACTCTGGCCAGGGGTGTATGGTCATGTAAGAACATAGCAATCCCTATGGGCTCCATTTGGATGTGATATGGGAAGCATCATGTTCCTGTAAAAGGAGGTATAGTTTTATAAATCGCAGAAGATAAATGTGATACTGAGTAGAAACAAAAAAATATAGATAGGTATCTAACACCTAATTCCTAAATGATTCTTCTTTATTCTACAAAACCTGTTATCTTTCTGCAGTTCAGAAATTGTAAAGATGTACAAAATGACAGATACACCTCACTGGAAATTAGTCCTTACAGGAACATTTAGCAGTAATATACTTTTGCTTCTTTAGGAGAACACTGAAACTAGCAGAGTGTGGACTTATCAGTAGGTAAGTGGTTTGCACAAAGTAGTAAGCTTTATTTTATGTAGAAAAAAATAGACAATACATCCTTTGCTAGTTCTGATGTCTAAGTGTAGACAGAACAGCAAGAATGTGGACTGTGCTGTCTTTATAAGTGTTAGTGTTCATTGCAAGTGCTGGTAAAACCTCCTTAATAGGAATTAATTAATGTGGTGCATGCATGAAGACTGCATGCCAAAATCCATCCATTGTTGTGCTTGTCTCTTTGATAAATGAATGAGTAAAAGGTGATTAACTCTAGGTCAGCTCATTGAATTGTAGTTTGAGCAAAGCTTAGATCTCCTCAAAGTGATCAAGTGTGATTTCTTTACAGTAATTGAATCTACTTAAAGGAGAATTATCTATTTCCCCAGGAGTAATGGAGAAATTCACTAATAGAAGGAAAAAAAATAAGAAATATAAAGAGTGCAAGTCTTGGACCAAATTTAAACCCAAGGGGTGGTTTGAATTATATAATCCCACTTTCATTTGGCATCAATAGTTCAGCTGATATGCATATGGCTACATACAGGCAGTGAGTTAAATGGCATGGTTAACATACTGGAATACTTACAGATAATAATGAAAACAAGCCTATTTCTGGGGGCTCAAGTCTTCTCTTGAGTCAGAACTACTGCTTTTTTTTTCAATTAAACTAGTCACCAAAGATGAAAGCACAGAATCCAATCAATATTCAACATTTTTGGTGTTTATTATGTGCTTGGCACTGAGATAAATCTATGTATATATAAAGATAAGGAAAGTAAAATCTCTATTCCCAAATAGCTCACAGTTTAGTGTAAAAGCTAGCTGGGTAAGGAGGAAGAGTAAAACATAGTAAGTTTTATCAAAGAGGTATATACAAGGTGCTATGGGAGCCCAGGAGCACTAGAATGAATTCGAATTATTTTGCTGAGGGTGTCACTTATGGCTTCCATCATAGTCACATTGACACTAGGTCATGAGGATATGATATGGTATTCCATATCATTTGCTTCTCTTTGTATGCAAATATCCATTTTGATTTGTCACCTATATAGATCAGTTCTCTGAGTTATTTATCAGTAGTGGTGACAATTTGGTGTGGATATATCTCCACTTCTTTGCCAGCACTTTCTTGGATGGTAAAACTTTAACAAAATGGCCACCCTTTGTCTTTTTTGCTTAGCCATTTCTGAAATTCTCCCTTTATTCCTTTCATAAGCAGGCAGCGCAAATGGATATAAAATGGATTCCATAAAGTGAACAATGTCTACTTATGTTCATGGCATCGATGTTTCCAGCAATTTATCTTTAAAAATTATGCTTTATAAACAACAAATAGCCTCTTTCATAGCAATGACTTTCCACCTTCCCTCTCTGCTGCTGTAGGCAAAAGCCATGCATTGCTGAAAGACCTCTATTTTCACTACTTTATGCTATGCTCTTAGAGAAAACATATTGTTAATATGAACCTGGCAAATAGACTTTCAACCCAGAGATGATTATACACACTGTAAATTTAACCCTCTCTGGCACCCCCATACCAAAAGAAAGGTAGATGTAGATGTTGTCAGTGGTCTTTCTCTGGGTCAGTGTACTCTGCAGACCTAGGATTATCACATTCCTTAGGACTCAGGTGAATTCTCAGACAACAATTGCAAGGCAGGCTTAGAATGGCTGGTATTTAATCATCCCGATTGACATCACATTGCTACTGAGAATCTGATTAAACTTTGTGTGTTTCTATCCTCTGACAGTGTGAACAGTAGCATCAGGGGCACTTTGTGATTGCAATTCTGAATCATGGGTCAGTCAGTCAAAGAGAAAGAGAGGAATATGCCAAAACTTGGAACTTTTTCAGAAATCTGATTGGCCCTCTGGATAAGCAAGTGCATGTCTAGCAATGGACCTGTGTTCAGGAAAAGAAAAACAACTAAACTCAATCAAATGGTGATTAGATTGATGACATGAGCAATTTGTTTATTGGAGAAATTAGACTTTGTTTTTTTTTGCCCTTCATGTATTTGTGTAATGGTATTAAGACAAGCTAATATTGTTTGAGCAATGTAGCAAGTGCTCTGCTTGAGTAAAAAGCATACTCCTTATAGAGACTTCATGAAGTAGAAGCTAATATTAGCTTTGGATTTATAAATGAGGAAACTGACATAAACAGAGGTTAAGTAACTTGCTAGTCATGTAATCAATAAATGGTGGAGCTGTTGCCTCTAGAGTCCACAATTTTACCCCAATAATCTCTGTAAGTGTCTAGGTTGCAAATGACTTACAACTTAAAAAAAAATTAGTTTCACACTCACAGATACCAGATCATCATCAGTACTGCTTTTGTTTATTTAACAGCATATGCTTGTGTGAATATATTATTAAGATGGATGTGAGAATAGAAGCATCTGACAGTCAGCAAGCACCATTCTCCCAATCATAAGACTGGAGAACCTGTAGAACTCTACACAGTTGAAAATATTTTTAACTTATAGATGCCCCACTCAACCCAGGACCTATTTCACATCTAGACTTTGTAAGCTAGGATTCCTACAGGAGACAAGCAGCTACATGCATAGGCTACATGCAACAGGCTTCAGCAATATAGTCTGAAAACTTTCAGTACTTTAAAAGACACCATGGGATTTCTAGCTATAACTGTTTTGTATTTGCTTTTCTGAAAGAAGAAGCCTGTGGTTAAGGTTTACTTCATGTTAGAAACTTGTTTTAACTATGGTTAAGCCAAATCTAACTAAGTGGTTTTTATCTTCTTAATTTTACAAGTGGGTTAGAGGATGTCTTATCACTAGAATGGTGTTTATAATGCAGGGTGTAGTTTTGTTTTTTCCACACGTGACTTCATATTACAGTCAATCACGTAGTTGAACAGCACTCATTTTAATAACATCTCAAAGAATCACCTCGTCTGCAGAGACGCTGTCTGTTGTCCATTTGTCCTTTCTAGCTCTCTTTAACTCTAGGGATGCAAGTGTTCAGAGGTGGACCCCACATATAGAATGCACTAAAATATGGTATTTTCAAATGCAATTATCTAAATTTTTAGTTATTCACAAATACCTAAGACAAGTTATTTGGATGCTGCTTCTTTGCCACTCTGTAACTAGTAGGACTCTGGCTATACAGATAAAGATAATGCATATGCCTTCTCTCCTAGGTGTTTGCAATTAGCTTTTCCTAGGAATCTTCTAAGGCACTTATTTGAAAAAATACATCATTACTCTAGCTTCTTCTAGCTGCTAGCAATTATTGTAATAGTAACAAATAGAAATTTGCATAACTGCAATGCTTGCTGAAACTCTGACCTCCTGATGATCCCAGATGTGAGAGGGGTCTTTTACCATTCATCTGAAATAGCCAACTATTATAGAGGACCCACCAATCAGAGAGCATTTGTACTGAGTGTTACAGGGGAAACAAAATAGGATAAAATTAACAAAATTATTCTTAGGGAATTATTTATGTAGGGTCTAAAATTACTTGAAAATTTTACAACATGAAGTGGTAATGTGAAAATGAGTGTTAGAATGCATAAATGCAAAATAAATTCTTAAGAGGAATAAATTGAAACCTTCAGAAAAGACTTCCCAGAAGACTGACCTAAGTATGACGATACAGAATTTCAATGGGTAAAAAACACAAAGAAAGGAATTTTAGGTGGGGTAAAGATTTGGACCATTCATTAACAAAAGAAGATTATTCAAAGAAAACTTGGCCTGTGTATATTGATGTTTAGCCTAACATAAAAACTATGTTAACGTAAACTGGTTTTTTAGCCTAAGTATAATAGCAATATACATTAAAAGTAAGTTATAATCAGCTTTAATTGAAAGCCTCATTGTTTGTTGATAGAATATCTTATCATTTATTTTCACAGCATCCTTGGGTAGTGGCAAAATAATCATTTAAAAAACTATAATGGAACAGATGATTTGCTGATTTAAATATTTAGCATTACTCTATATAATCTAACAAATGTGTGCCATATTTTCTTTATCCAGTCTATCATTGATGGGCAATTGGATTGGTTCCAAGTCTTTGCTATTGTGAATAGTGCTGCAGTAAACATCCATGTGCATGTGTCTTTATAGAAGGATGATTTGTAATCCTTTGGGTATATACCCAGTAATGGGATTGCTGGGTCAAATGGTATTTCTAGTTCTAGATCCTTGAGGAATCACCACACTCTCTTCCACAATGGTTGAACGAATTTAGACTCCCACCAATTTAGGAGTTTTGAAAATCTACTTGGAAATGCATAGTAACTACTGCAGTTCATACTTTTGAATGAATCATGGTAATTATAACTGCCAGTTTAACCCGCCTTCTCTCCTCTCATACACACTTAAAGAGCTAGGTTTTCAGTTACCTAATTCTTACTGATTGTCAATTTAGCCGATAGTGTCTCCATGACACTCATATTATTCTTCCAATTTCCCAAAAACTGTTTACCAATTTGGGGAAACTAATGAATTTTTTTTTTCTGGCTATTTGTCATCCCTAGACTACTGACATAATTCAGTTATCAACACCTAAAGTAGTACCATATCACCTATCCATAGCACTTAGGTAACTTATGAAGAAGTAAAAATCAATTGAGCTGTCAAATGCATGCAAAAAAAATCATCTGCCCTCAAACCTTAGAAGTCTTCAGTCCTTCTTATATTGGGCATTAAATATTACCCATCTATAATTCCAAAATAATTTATTATCCATCTTCTGACTCCAAGATGTATTAAAGGAAAAGGTAGACCAAAAAGATGAATGGGAGTTGTCACACTCAAGCCATTTGGTTGCAATGGTGACACAGCTAAGAGCCTACGCAGCTAAAAAATAAGGAATCTCTTCCTTCTTCTCCCCTAAAAAAGCAGATTCAAAGATTATAGCTTTCCTAGACTGGGTCTTGTTCTGGAGGGGGAGATAGCGTGAAGATATTTCTGGATCAATTGACAGGAAATGGGGAAATAGATTGTAGATGAGATCAAATAATCTACTTTTTAGATTAGATTATTTGGTTGGTAACATTATGATTATGTAAGACGATATTATTATTAGGAAATACACAATATTTAAGAGGTAAAGCGCCATGATGTATGTAATTCACCATCAAATGGTTCAGGAAAAAAAACAATTTCTGTGTGTGTGTGTGTATTTGTGTGGACAGAGAGAGAAAAAAATTAAATAAATTGAGAAAAATCCTAGTGTTAAATTTTAGTAATAGGTGAACTTGGGTAAAGGGATGTTTTGTGCTTTTTTTGCACCTTTTCTATATGTTTGTAATTATTTTCAAATGCAGTTTTTAAAAATCATAGATCTAAAGGTTTTTTAAACAGTAAATACTAAAAATATGCTTTTATACTATTTTCTTCTCTATATTTGTTAACATGGCATTAAATCATCACAGAAATAGCCAGCATCTCATATTTTAAATAGCTACATTTATATTAGTTATTTCAGGAATGATATAGTTTATCATTTAGTTTATGAATTTTAATGAATTATTTGTGAATAACTAAAATATAATTTTAAGTTTCAAATATTATAGGATAAAAATGTCAACCCCTAGACACCTTGGTTATAGGTAAATATTCTATCATGTTGTATACAGTGTTACATAAACTTTTCAAGAGCATATAGAACCAAAAATAGGTAATCAACTCGTCCAATATGATTTTTAATAATTTCTAGTAACAGAAATTATCGACTGGCACAACCTGATATTTCTCCTTTAATTTTCTTTCTTACAGCCCTGTTTTTATTGGCCCTGTTTAATGATTGATTTACATATGCATATACATACATACATATATACATATATAATTATTCCATACACTAAATCAAAGGTTATCATTTGATGAAATTGGCTTCTTCTTTATCCGTGTAGTTCAAATATGCCCAGTTTCCCCCTCTATTATAAATGAGTGATTTTTTAGGAGATTGAGTTGGGGATGACCTTATAATCCCTGTAGGTGGCAGTATCTGCCAGAATTTTTGTGTGACACTGTTTCTCCCCCCTAGCTTTCTGGTTTCACTTTTAGACTGTTGTCTTAGACAGTCAGGAAAACTCAGGGGCTGTGAGTATCAACCTGGATGAAATAAAGGTGCAAAAATTCAGACAGAGTGGTGGTAGCGTGGGCAAGGCTCAGGTAGGGCTTGAAACTAAGGGAAAAAACAACAATGAAAAATATGAAGGAAGCTTACCAGTTGAATCAGTGTGGCCTCATTGCTACTGTCCGAATTAGAAAGAGCAGAAACTGAAAGGTATTTTTTGGATCCCAAAACTGTCTCCTGGGCTGAGCCTCTTCATTAGTCTTCAGAAACCATGTGGCTATAATTTGAAAGATAATTCTGCTATGATTGCATTGGAGTGGGGATGATAGTGAATAATTTATTTCTTACTGAAGAAACCAAGATTATTTCAGTAGCTTTCACAGGCCAGTGTTTTACTTTGGAAAACCATCCTAAGGATGAAAATGGAAGAGGAGAAAAATATAGCCATAGTTTTGGAGAATGTTAAAATTTTTTTTTAGTATTCTATACGGGTAACGTTAGAATTAGCATACATTCTGTGGAGTTGGAAATGCCTTTGAAGCTTAATCAGTAAATCCATTAAAAAATCACTGAGCAATTACGCTGGGCAAACATTGTGCACCCTAAAGTATGGGGAGTAGATCAACCTAATGAGTGTAGATGGCCAGCATCTAGAAGAAGTGGGAGGCATGATTGAAACAGTAGGGTAAAGCCAGACTATGGATATTGAATACTCCACTTATGAATTTGGATGGATCATGTAGAGTCAATTAAAGTATTTTCAAAAGGGAGTGATATTATGAATGGGAGCTTTTTAAAGGAAGATTAATCTGGCTGTAGAACATTTGCACATTTGCTGCTCTCTCTGTCCTTAGGTAATAAATGGATATCTAAAAGTTACATATCGTTTCCCTTGTTTAATATCTAGGTTGATTTTAATTATACTTAAATCAGCGCATAATAAATTAGTGTCTTCCAGCCAAGAGTGTCTCTAAATTCCCTCGATAGCATGATCCATTGCCTGAGTGTTCTTACATAACTATAAAGTTCTTTCATATTATTTATCCTAAATTGTTCCCTCTGTACTTAAGCACATTAGTTTTCGAGCTGTACCCATTAATGAGATTAATTGGTCAATGTTTCTTTTCTGCATGTCCCTTTGCATATTTGTATATGTATCTCCTTTTCATGGTGCATTACATTTTTCTTCTTTATTTCCTCATTCTCTTTTATTTTTCTTTCTTCATTCCTTCCTTCCCTCCTTACTACCTTTCTCTTCCTCTCCTTTCCTTCTTTCCTTCTTTCTATTTTCCATTCCTGTGTTCATATTTCTTGGTTTAGTTCTCAACCTAACATTGCATGGTATAAAATGTTAACCAAACAGGCTCATAAAGAAGGAAATAAAACATATATTTTGTCATATTATTTTTTCTTAGTTTTTCATGGAATTCTGTTACGGGGATAGGGTGATAGTTCAGACTGGCAAACAGTCTGCTTGACATTTCTGGTGACTTCTTACTGTATTCTTTGTAGGTTCTATGCCTGGGTTTCGCTTTATTCTCACCTTCTTGCTTTTGCTCAGTCTGTTGTATCTGATCTCCCTTAATGCCACACCTCTTAAGTCCAACCTATCTTGATTTTTAATTATTTCCAGTTTTTAATATTTCTAAATTTTTAAATGCTTATATAACTAAAATTTATATATTAACTGGTCTGATAAATTTTTTAGCATTAAGGAATTTTAAAGTATTTCTTACTAAAGTTATATGAAATCATTTTTTAAACTTAATTAGCTTTCATGGTTTGATTTTTTTAATTGATATACATTTTTATACATATTTACTGGGTACATGTGATATTTTGTTATATGTATAGAATGTGTAACGATCAAGTCAGGGGGATTTATGATATTCATCACCTTGAGCTTTTATCATTTTTATGTGTTGGGAATGTTTCAAATCCTCTCTTCTAGCTATTTTGAAATATAAAATGCAATTTTATTAACTATAGTCACCCTACTGTGCTATCAAACATTAGAACATATTTCTTCCATCTAACTGTATGTTTATACCCCCTGTCCTACCTCTCTTCACCCCCTTTCTACACATGAACACCCTTCTCAGCCTCTGGTATCTATCATTATACTCTCCACCTCCATAAGATCAACTTTTTTAGCTCCCACATATGTGTGAGAACATGTGATATTTGTCTATCTGTGCCTAGCTTATTTCACCTAACATAATGCCCTTCAGTTTCATTCATGTTGCTGCAAAAGACAGGTTTTGATTCTTTTTTATGACCCAAGAGTATTCCACTGTGTACATATACCACCACTTCTTTATCCATTTACCTGTTGACGGATACTTTGATTGATTCCATGTCTTTGCTATTGTGAATATTACTGCAACAAACATGGTGATAGGGGGACAGGTATTCCTTTGAACTGATTTCCTTTCCTTTGGATAAATACCCAGTAGTGGGATTGCTGAATCATGTAATAGCTCTCTTTTTAGTGTTTGAGAAATCTACGTATTGTTTTCCATAATGGCTGTACTAATTTACATCCCCACCAACAATGTGTAAGAATTGCCTTTTCTCCACATCCTCACCAGCATCTGTTTTGTCTTTTAGATGGTAGACATTCTAACGGGGGTAAGGATATCTGATGGAGGTTTGGATTTTCATATTTCCCTGATGATTAGTTATATTGAACACTTTTTCATATACCTGTTGGCTGTTTGTATGTCTTCTTTAAGTAAATGTCTTTTCAGATTCTTTGTCCACTCTTTAACGTGTTTATTTGGCTTTTTGCTATTGAATTGTTTCAGCTCCTTGTTTATTCTGGATATTAGTCCCTTGGATGAATAGTTTGCAAATATTTTCTTCCATTCAGCAGGTTGTCTCTTCATTCTATTGATTTTTTCCTTTGGTATACAGAAGCTTTTAGTTTAATACAGTCCCAGTTATCTCTTTTTGTTTTTGTTCCCTGTGTTTCTGAGGACTTAGCCGTAAAATCTTTGCCTAGACCAATGTCTTAGAGTGTTTTCCCTATGTTTTTTTCTAGTAGTTTCATATTTTCAGGTCTTGCCTTTAAATCTTTATTGTTTTTAGAGTTGAATTTTGTATATGATGAGAGATAGGGATCTAATGTAATTCTTCTGCATATAGATATCCAGGTTTCCCAGCACATGGCCCAATTTAAACCTTGCCTTCTCTAGGTAGTCCTCTATAATGTTCTTATCGCATGCTAATCACTCTCTTATCTGTAACTCTTGGTTAATTTAGTCACTGTCATAGAGTGTACGTCTTACTTGTTGCCATTCAACTTGTTGATTTGGCTGTCTGTTTAGATACGTTCAATACTATTTGTTTATCTCTTTCAAAATATCTACACCTAGTATTAATAAGCCAGCTTGTCAATCTGTGCTTTATATATGTAAACACAGAAAGAAGAAAATTATACGTATATACATATGAATATAATTTTTTGTAGTTGTTTTATATATATATATACACACACACACGAACACATATATATGCAGAACATAATATTCTATATCTTTCAGATAGTTTACCACAATCAGATATTGTAAATTAATTGTCCTTCAGTCAGAGCCTTCCCATACCTGTGTTTTATTTGCAAGCATAGTGCTTGGTTGCACACTGAAAATATTCGAAACTGGTTGCCAACATTTGAAAATCAGAATGTTTCACATAAACATCAACATCTCTACTATTAAAAAAAAAAAAGAGAGAGAAAAAAGCTCAGAATATCGAACAAAGTGGTCTACATTTCTGTAGGAGAGTATCGAATGGAAGTGAATAGTTGCTACTGCCTTGAAACAGGGAAGGCTCTCTCCTGTCGGCAATACTTTATTTCTCCCTATTCCTTTTTAAAGTCTGGCCTCTGTAGTCACTGGACTTTGTGATTGTTGTTCTAAAGGCTTAGATAAATGTGGAGTGCCCTCAACCATCTTAGGATTCCTTTAACATATCCAAAGGTATCTAGGAACATCCTGAAGTTGGTACTGCAGTGGTTATCAGATTTCGGTGATAAGAAGAGTAACATGGTCAGGTTCTGAAAAATGAAAATTCTTGGTCACAAGCTGAGGTTTAAATCAGCAAGTCTAGAGAATATACATTTTTCAAAAATACTCTCTATTGTATTGGTCCCTGAAGTCAGGTGTATGTCTGCCTTCACTGATATAAATCATTTCAATGTTAATAATAATCATTTTAAAGTGTGAAGTCCTAAGAGACAAAGCAATCTTTCATGCTGTATATATTTTAATCCATTTGCTCACTATTTTACATTTAATTTGTGACTGATATTTTTCCAGGATAAACAATTCTTGAATGGCTATCCTTATAATTCATTTAAAAATGCTCTGTGTATTAACTAATTTGCTTTAGGAGAGTTAATATATATTGAAATGGAGGTGAAAGAATGTATCAGTCTTTAAAAAAAACTAATTTTTGCTTTGATTAAATATTTTGTTATATTTGAAATATTTGATATATTTTAACATTTTCAGCTCCCACATATATTATTCCTCATTAAAACAAACAGAATTATAAATTATCATATTTTTTCCTTGATGACTCTTTTCTGTCGATTTGCAAAAAATCTTATAAATGTTTCCTTAGTATAGATAGAATAGTCTATGTGACTAGTCGAGTAAGAAGAAAATTTAACATTTCCAATTACATCTGTAATTCCACTGATCAGCACCACTTGATATTTACCCCAAGCCAAATATATGAGGTTATTAAACTGGATCATTACTGGTGGTGTTTTGTTTTGTTTTGTTTTGTTTTTTCCTCTCTTTTTAAAATGCTTGATGTTACTGGTAAGCTACTAATTTATCTGCTGGGACATTGAAAAGAATGGAACTTTTCAGCTGTCCGTCATACTTTTGCCCTAACTTTATCTAGCAAAAGTAATTGTTGAATCTGTCTACTTAATGTCCTTGCAAGAAACTAGTGAATATTTTAGATTAATGATGTGACTGCCATCATCCTACGTGATGGAATAACATTAGTTCAGGTTCACATGATGGCCCATGCAGTACCTTTTTTTTTTTTTTTTTTTTTTGATACCAAGTCTCGCTCTGTTGCCTGGCTGGAGTGCAGTGGCACAATCTCAGATCACTGCAACCTCTGCCTCCCAGGATCAAGCAACTCTCCTGTCTCGGCCTCCCAAGTAGCTGGGATTACTGGCACACGCCACCACGCCCGGCTAATTTTTGTATTTTTAGTAGAGATGGCGTTTCACCATGTTGGTTAGGCTAGTCTCAAATGCCTGACCTCAGGTGATCTGCCCACCTTGGCCTCCCAAAGTGCTGGGATTACAGGTATGAGCCACCTTGCCCGTCCACATGCAGTAACATTATTTCTTCCCTGGTGACTATCAAAATATTACACATTTACAAAATAAACCTTTACCTTTTATCTGCACCTCTCAACTTGGCACGTTTCATCTGACGTCTTTGGCCTACATTTCCAAGAACTATTCAAATCAGGGTTTTATGGCACACATTCTGTGTTATTAAACACATGTATCACTTTGGTTTTATGACAAACTAAAGGGACCATTGGTCCTAACTTCAGGAGGTTGTTCTTTGGGGACCTTTTGAGTGTGAGGAATGGAACAATAACATAAGATGGCTTCAAGACTAATAATCAGAGGGCGGCACAGCCCACAGTAACCACTGTTAAATGTGTAAGTACACTTTAAGAAACAATTAATTAAAACTAATTGAGAAAGGAAAATAAGTAATAGATGTGAGAAGGGGAATGAAATAATGGAGTTTTGCCTTTGGATAGCTAACGGGGCAGTGAGACATGATAATTTACATTTGAATTCTATTGTCACAGATTTTTCCAGGTTATTTGTCTATTTCATCTCTTTTTAACCACAAATAGCATTTAAGAATTAGTGTTAATGTGTTACAAATGGCTCATTGAGTTACTTTTCCTTCTCAGCCCCAAGGCCCAAAGTTTTCTTCAAGAGTGGTAGAGAATCTCTCTCTCTTCAGTTTGCATTATTTTCTTGTAGGAAGATTGTTTTTTTAATCTTAGAAACCAGAATAATTGTGTAATGTCCCCACCTAACCCCCAACTCATCAAAATTCAGAGATGCCTTACATGTGGTGCTATTTCCAATATATACATACTTATAAATGTGTTTAAAAATTCCAACTGAATTTATTAACTTAAGTATGAGACTCTGAGAAGATCATATGGGTTGTAAATGAAATATGTGGAAGGGCAAGTAATTCTAAGTGTAATTAGCTTCAATTTGCAGGAAAATGATGAATACGTTTTACTTTTTTACATTTCTTTTTTACGTTTACATTTCCAAGGCTGCATAAATTTTTTTATGACAGCTTTTGTTAGAAAACAATTGGCTTAGCTTGCATTAAAATTATACAAGTCCAGTCAAGTAAACCAAAGTAACTGGCAAAGTAAAATGTCTCATTTTCCGTCAAAGGAGAAATTGTTTGTACATACCAAATCTAAGAACGTGAGGCTCCATCTTGAAACAACCATAGTTTGTTTTACATGAAAGCTATAAACAAGAAGTACAACAAAACAAAGTTTTTATTTTTTTCTTTTTAAAACATTACTTTTCAAGCATTATTTCACAAACATCCTACCATATCTTTTACTTCCAATCAAAATTGAACCCACTTTTCTCTCCAGCTAATGATTTTATGAGCGGCAGGCAGGCTATTTTTTGAAACAGGGAATAATTAAGAACTGAAATGAATAATTGAGAGCTATATTCTTGGTAGAGTACCAGTTAATAATGACTTAGAAGTTTTGTCCTGACTCTAGATTTAGAAAGAAATTAAAGTTATTACATTTCTTCTTTTTAATTTTGATTGACAGACCCTATTGGGAAATCTAGTTGCAGTCAAGTAGAACAAGATTTGGACTAAATGAAAGAGGCTTTGCTTGGAATTTCAGTGCAAATCCATACTAGCCCAGTGACTTAATCTATCCATGAACTTTCCCTAGACTGGTCATCATTACTGACCGTGATCTCCAAACGGTAGTAGCTGTAGGCTGAGAACGAGCATGTTTACAGATGCTCACCAACTAAGAGTATGCGCTTGGTGAACACCATTTGCATCACTGGTTTGTATATATCAGGGTTCAGCTGAGTTTAATTAACATAGGCTTTTTATAATTGACAAATAATATTTTTATATATTATATGTTTATGGGGTAGATTGTGATGTTTTGGTATCTGTTCACATTATGGAATGATTACTCTGAGCTACTTAACACATTCTCACATTCTTCCCCAAGTAAAAAAAAATCTACTTGGTTTGTCTTTTACCTTTCAAAGCTATATCAAAGCCAAATACTCAACTGACAGTGTTGTAAGTACTGTCTATAGATTCTTTGGTGTATGTTTTACTTAACCCAAATTAGAAATGCTTTGATATTGTAATTCCAATAAACAAAGTTAAAGGGACTGATTCATTAGTTTTTATAGATTATTCTCATTTTTTTGTACTTAAAGTGGGTCATTTTTCCATTCCTAGATGTGTACAAATGGATAGTCATATGTTTATTCTGTTAAGTTTCTCATCTTATTAATTGGGACCATAACAAATAAATAAATTATTTTTCACTTGTTCAAACTTTTAGATAATGGATTTTGGTTAGTAAAAACAGTATTAGTTTGATATTCAATTTGCACATAGGATTTCATGGCTGTTATGCCTGATTAGGACAGAGACCTTTTTTTCTTTTTGCCTTAAAGTTGCAGCAAAATGCTATAAGCAATGTATAATACATCCCGGGGTCCATGACACCTTTTCTAGGGAAGGAGAGGATAGAGATTAAATATCTGTTAGAGTATGGTGCATTACCAATCAGTAATCAGTGTTGTTTGAGATATTACAAGCTGTGATATTAGAGACAAAATTATTTTAACAATATTAAATGAAGTACAAAATTAAGATATATCCTAGGAACCTATCATGTTCTTTCTGTAAGCCAGGCCTCCTAGAAAAACAAAAGCAACTTTGAATTTAGATCACCGTCAAGATTTCCTGAGTAACCATTTAAATGAACTTGTTCCTTGGTTTGGATACTTAACCCAGCTCATTTTGAACAATTTGTTATTTTTCTCAGGAATTTTTATTTTTTCTCTTGGCGTAAGTCAGGCTTGCTCAACTACTTCCTGAAAAAAAATGAATATGCTCTCCCTCTACAGCTGCATAATAATTTCCACAATTAAATAAATTATTTTATGAAGGGAGAAAGTAATTAGGAGATTAACCTTCCAACCATTTATTCCTTTGACTCTTCCGAACAAGGAGATTTTGTTAGAGAAAATGAGAACAGAATAAAGATCTATTGTATTGAAGACTGGGCAAGTAGGAAAAGTAGGGCAATTCCCTGGGTTGCATTTTTGAACCATTTTCTCCTTGCTGGTATGTTTGACATCTACATGAAAATGAGACAATGGAATTGACCAAGATTAAATATAGGCTTTACATTATCCATGTTATGTCTCAATTTTCTTTCAGGAATACTTCTTTTTCCTCAGTAGAATTATTTGACTGAAAACCAATTAGCGAATCCTTCTCTCCTACATGAAAGTCTAAAACACTACAGCCAAAATAATCATGGCCTCCATTTTGCTCAGACATTATTGGGCAGCTTCTTTTTTTGTTTTGTTTTGTTTTGTTTTTCGTTTTTTGTTTTTTGAGATGGAGTCTTGCTCTGTCGCCCAGGCTGGAGTGCAATGGTGCAATCTCAGCTCACTGCAAGCTCTGACTCCCAGGTTCACGCCAGTCTCCCGCCTCAGCCTCCTGAGTAGCTGGGTCTACAGGCGCCCGCCACCATGCCTGGCTAATTTTTTGTATTTTTAGTAGAGATGGGTTTCACTGTGTTAGCCAGGATGGTCTGGATCTCCTGACCTCGTGATCCACCTACCTCAGCCTCCCAAAGTGCTGGGATTACAGGCGTGAGCCACCGCGATTGGGCAGCTTCTTTTACTCTACAGTTTGTAAGAAAAGACTTAATAATTGTTTTTCTGAGGGAGAGTTTGAGTATGGGGTTCCCCCTAAAACCTTTCGTCTATTCTCCTCCACCTTTTTACTGTGGCTTAAATCTCTGGTAATGACTTGTGGAAAGTGTTTCTGGCTGGCTATTTCTGGTTATCACTTTGCCCAGCATCTAGTAGAGTGCCTCAATAAATATGTATTCAAAACATGAGTCAATAAATCTGCTTATTATCAAGAATTTAATCTTAAGTAACAGTAAGCATGCTTTTCTGTTGCTTGAAGCTGCAAATGGCAGCTTTGGGATTGCAAAGAGAAGCTGTGCAAGAAAGGCCACATTATATTCTGGTGCATAATATTCTTGCTTTCTTGTCTGAAACACTCAAATGAACTAGCAGAATTGTTGGGGGAGAACAAGAAAGAGGCAGTGGAGGGGTGAACTGCTATCTGTCTGCTCATATTTTTAAGAATAGATTAGACATCCATCTCTGCTGGAGTTTTAAGCAATTACCTGCCAGGTATATATCAGCCGTGCTATTTCAGGATTTTCTAATGCCATTAGAGGCTTTCATCAATTTCATCAATGATGGTATCACAAAATGTACAACCTGCGACTCAGTTTGTGAGTGTAAAAGGGGTAAAATAGACTTCACTAAGAAATATTTGCAGCTAGGGGACTTAAGAGGAAAAGGCATTGGTATGTGTGATGGGGGAAGGAGGGGAGAGAAAAAGCGATGATTTCTTATGCTTGGTGTCAGTATCTCACATTTGGGATGGGGCTGGGAATCTGCCTAAATCTGCTTTTTTTGCTTCTGTGATCGGTTCTTTTGATTTCCAGGTTATTGATCAGCACTTAACCTGAATTGTATCAAACATCTTCCCAAAGCATGGTGAAGGCTTTCTTAATAAAGCTTTGTTAATGGTTTGCATTTATGCCTCGGGACCCATTGCATGCCAAGACATTGACTGTACAAGGAAATTTTATTTGGTTATCCACCACGTGCAGTCTTTCTTGAATAGGTTCTGCAGAATATCCTTAATGATGGCCATGCATTTCTGTTAGAAATATGGTGAGGGAAAACCTGTTTGCTTAGTGTTCTCTTTTTTTTTTTTTTTTTTTCTGGTTACTTTTAATTGGTTTTGGCAGCTATACCTCAACACCCTTTTTGTTGCTTTTCAAAAAATGTCATAGTTCTAGATTAACACCAGATCACACAGTGCATGTCTATAGTTATATTCCTTTACTGATTGACTTACCCTTGGACTACTTTGAAGTCCTTTGCCTTAAAAGTGTGAGATTTTCATATCCAGGGGCTCATCTTCCCAGGAAATACAAGAATAGGTTTGTTTGTTCAATCAGATGGCATGTTTAGTTACATTCAGGTAACCAGGCGAGTGAAAGAGATGCATCTGCTCCTGGGGTTTAGAGAAGGTCTCAGCAGTACCTGTTCCTAATTAACTTTTATTAGGTGTTCTGCTTCACTGGAGGTTTCCAAATTGAAGAGGAGTATTAGACACAAGCAAATAAATGTATCCTAGTCTTCATTTTGTCAGTTAGATGTATGATTTCATAAAATAATTCCTCATGGCTTTAGTTTTTTAATCTGTTAATAGCAACTGTTAGTCCAGATGATAACCAAGACCCTTCTTGCTCCAGAAGTCTATGATTTCTTGAGTATTTATGTGACTATAAGTACTTCCTAGAGAAAGCTTGCCTTTACCTGGCCAAGCATAGAAGTTTTTCTTCTCCCTTGTCTGTGGCTTTAATTTATTTTTCTTTTCCAGAACACAACTAGTTTACTAATTTTTTTCTTGAGTTGTCACCTTGGATTAGAATCTAGAAATTGTCAGAAATTAAAAAAATCCCTGTGGACCTAAAGAAGAGTCTGTCTGGTACTATCCAAGCTGATGAAGATTTGGGTGTCAAATGGGTGTGGCATATCTACTCCACCTATGTTATAAGCACAATTATTTCCTCTGGAGAATTTTCAGTGGTTGTTCTGATCTAACAAACTATCTTGCATTAAGTTTTCTTCAGACCTCCTCTGAAACCAGATTGCTGAGTTGTCAGCAACCTCCACACTGGAGGCTGTACTTACGCCCATTTCCAACCAACTCAGTCCTGCCCTTACCCAGCACTCTGCCTCAGCCACTTTCCCTACATCTTCAAGCATTGAATGTCAGGTACCTGCCAGTTCAAGCCTAAGCCAGCTACATGGGGATTTGCCATCTCCAGTTACTCAAAACTGCATTTTTTGCTGTCTTCATCTGACACCTGACTACTAAATTACTGCTTTTAGAATAGCACCTACACTTTTGGTCCTGATTGCCTATGTCCTCACCACCTCCCTTGCACTTCCTAAGGGAACAGGATCTCTTCCTAAGATACACCCAAACGAAGTATAATGTTACGCAGCTCCTTTCTATCTCATCAAGTGTTTTTTTGGGTATAAAAGGAAGATGTCTCTTATGACTTAATTACTAAGATTTTAGCAGGGTGGAAAGAAGTAGATGGCAAGGTAAAAAAAAAAAAAAAAGACCCTAAATCCAGACTTTCAGAACTTACATAGAGTACTTTCCTAACTGGACTATTCTCTATACACACAGTATCTATGTACATTAGACGTTTCCTCAAATTTTCCTTCCAGGAAGCTACTGGAAGAAAGTCAAGGTTTCCAAGGAATAGAGAGAAACACAACTGAGAACTGAAGCAATACATGGCCAAGAAGTCTTGTCTCTGTCCTCCCCCAATTCACATCAAAAAAGTCATTTTAAAAAGATAAGAGCTGGGCCGGTCGCGGTGGCTCATGCCTGTAATCTCAGCGCTTTGGGAGGCCGAGGCGGGAAGATCACAAAGTCAAGAGATCAAGACCATCCTGGCTAACACGATGAAACCCTGTCTCTACTAAAAATATAAAAAATTAGCCAGGTGTGGTGGCGGGCCCTTGTAGTCCCAGATACTCGGAAGGCTGAGGCAGGAGAATGGCGTGAACACAGGAGGCGGAGGTTGCAGTGAGCCAAGATTGTGCCACTGCACTCCAGCCTGGGCGACAGAGCAAGACTCCATCTTAAAAAAAAAAAAAAAAAGAGTTTTGGGACATAAACTATCGCATAAAGAAACGTATGACACAGCATATCTGTACACACCTCACAGTCTCCATGAGAACTTTACTTTGCAGTAGAGTTACATGGGGTTTTTAATTGTCTTAATGTCTATTTTGAAATGATGATGTTGCTGCTGCCTTTAGATCTATACAATTAGCACACTTTGCCAGAGCAAAATACGCTTGAGGTCAAATGTATTTCAATTCCTTTGTAAACAGCACATGGCACCTGGAAGTTGTTTTAGAATTGCAAATGGAAAAAGGTAATTCTGCATCACAGTGTGTATCAACACTGCTCACACACACATACACACGCACACACTCACTGAAAACCACAACAAAAATAACTTTTTTTCCCCCATACTTGTTCAATAGAGCTGTTGGACCGTCTAGTGTACTTGTTTCTTTACCTGCTATTGACTTGTCCTGACAGTAGGATAACCACTACCTAGGTGGCCTTTGTTTGTCCCTCTGTTTTTTTCCTACAAAAGTCCAGGGACATATGACTGGTAATCAGTAATTGCAAATTTTTATTCCTGACAGGCAGGATTTTCTCTCTCTAGCCTTTAAAACAGCCCATTTAGCCTCTCCAGCCGTTTACCCATCAGCAAAATGTAAATAGCTGAATTAATGTGAATAAAGTGCTTTGAAGATGAAAACTGCTCTGCACTTTAAGTGGCAACAGAGCATTTCTTCGTATATTGAAGAAACATTTATTGAACTTAGTGTCAATTCTGTGCACAGCTCTTTGGAGATCACAGAGATGTACAAGACAAGGTCCATGTCCTCTGGAAGAGTCATTCGCATCTTAATGACAGTTAAACCTCCTAAATTGTAACTAGTTCAAAACTGGACCTTGTTAGGGTTTACAAGACTGAGCTTAGTGATATCTTGAAGAGATAAACTGACCAAAGAAAACTCTAATTCATTATTCATGATAATTGAATAAACTTAAACAGTAAGGTTTTATCAATGGTATTCAAACAGATGGATAGTCCTTGAAACACTAGCCTTTTAAGATGCTCTGGGACAAAGGTGTTAATGATTAATTAAGTGGAAAAGGGCCGCATAAATATTATTCTCTTGAAGATTAATAATGAACATGTTTACAGCTTTCAACCCAAGCTGAGGAACACATTTTTGGAAATCTTGTCTAAGTTGACCCCATTGAATATTTGCTTCCTAATAATCTGAGAGTCCTGCAAAATTAAAATGAGTTTCAGAGGTGCTCAACTGATGCCTAAACATGGTTTCAAGAAGGAATAAGCTTTTCTTAATATGGTACCAATAAAGATATACTTAAGTAAAATACATTAGGCCATGTTCATGCAAAAATATTTTTGGTCAAAATTGTATATTAAATATTATTAGTCGTTACATCCGGAAAAGAATTGGCCTTCCAAGTCCCTGAATCCTCAACCAAATGCCTTGGGCTGCAGCTGCTCTTTTCAAGTCTTCACCTGGAGGATATATGAAGCAGGATTTCCGAACTACTTCAGCAGATGATAAATGAACTTAAAGCCTTTTCGGAGGTCATAATGCTGATTAACATATAAATGGTTAATAATGAAAACAGTATAAAAGCTGAACTTTATTTAATCTAGAGTTTCCAAACTTGCTCACATGCAGAGTACTTTGTTTTGGTTTTGGATACTTGGGATGTTGTTTGTTTGTTTGCATGTTTTTCTTTCCAATAGAGGCAGAATATAGAATATATTATGTAACAGCATTCCTTGGAGCACGGTTTGAAATCTGCTTAAGTAGAAGATACCTCCTTAATTTCTAGTTAAGATTTTAACCCCAATTCTTTTGCTGCTCTTGTACTTGAGGAGGTGGATTGGTTCTCTGAGCTCTGGGAAGCAGCCATGGAGATGGGGGTTCTGTTTTTTATGGGCTACATGTTGATTCCTTCTGAGAAGAGGATGCCTAAGAAGGACATTATTGCTCCTTCTACCAAAAGCTGCCCCCTGCTTGTTTGTCTGTGACCATCTTCAGAACATCCTTATTTTGGAGTGGATCAAGAGAATTGAGGGAAATTTTGAGCTCTCTACACAGATTAAAGGGAGTGTGCCACTAAGAAATTCCTCCAGATGGAAAAATAGAAATCTTTACTCCTGCACACATCAGAACAAGACTAGGGAGGACATCAGTGGAAAGAAGCGACAAAACTGTGAGAGGCCTTTGAAAACTTAATTACAGTCTCTAGGTTTTCTTATCTGTAAAACGGGAATAATAACCTGCTTATATATTAGTTATGGAAGAAAAAATGAGATAACATGTGCTGATCATAGTGTCTGGCGTTTATAGTTTGGAGTATTACATAGAAAATATTTGTTTTGGAATAGGATATAGAAAATATAAATTATATTTAGCTTCACTTAACTTTCAACTGTAATTCAGTTTGATTTGTTTTGGAGTCAATTCAAGTAAAAATTCAAAAATTTAATGTGGAGACTTTCTGCCTTGCCTTAAAGTAAATAATTTTATTGTTGTTTTTTGGAGTGGCCAAAGTGGCTTTCTTAATACCTGGACAGTACATGATTCTAACATGGCTCTAAATAGGCCCTCCTTTCTTTTTGCTGGGCATCTATAAAGATTGCCTTTTTTAAAGGAACCAAATTGGTCTAGCAACATAATTTCCAAATTCCATTTCATAGCCCTGTACATTAAAATTAATAGTTTTGTTTTTATATTAGGACACATGGAGCATGGTTTATGAAACTTAGTTGTTGTTCAAGCAAAATAAAATTTCTTTAACTTGCTAATTCTCTTCCCTTTTTGGATATCTGATAATTATTTTATTAAAAAAAGTAATCCTATATAAACTCACATTTAATTTTCTACAATTTATTTTCCATGTGGAGAAAAACTATGCTTTTAAACATATTTCAGTGGAAATCTGCCAAGGCAGTAGACTTCTCAGCATCTTGCTTCACTAAATTATGTCCAATTTCAGTGAAAGAATGTATGTGGAGTAGTCCGAACTATATCCAATTATTATTTTAATCAGAAGTTATAGGAGCTTTGATCAAAGAAAGCTGACTTTGCGTTCCTCCAGTTTTGCATCAGTTATACTTAAAAAAAAATGCTTTAGTAGTTACATAAATATCATAAAACTGATGTATTCAGATAGGATAATTTCTCTTGTTTGTTTGTGTTTGGCTTTCTGTGGCATCAGCTAAGAGATCAGCAAAATCATAGGGTTTTTCTTGAGTTTTACCACCTTGAGGATCAGTTTGCTTCCGTTTGATTTGTTATTCATCATAACTTTATTTATTTATTTATTTATTTATTTATTTATTTATTGAGATGGAGTCTCACTCTTGTCGCTCATGATGGAGTGCAGTGGTGTGATCTCGGCTCACTGCAACCTGCACCTCCCAGGTTCAAGTGATTCTCCTGCCTTGGCCCTCTGAGTAGCTGGGATTACAGGCGCCCGCCACCATGCCCGGTTAATTTTTGTAGTTTTAATAGAGATGTGGTTTCGCCATGTTGGCCAGGCTGGTCTCAAACTCCTGATCTCAGGCGATCCACCCCCCTCAGCTCCCCCAAAGAGCTGGAATTGCAGGCTTGAGCCACCGCATCCCCTGTCACTTTATTTAGTTTTTAACATCCTGCTTATTAAGACTTATATTTAAACAATTTATATTTTCTTGGAGTATTCTTTTTGAGCATCAGATGTGTATTCAGCAATTCCAGTGAGATTAATTTTATACTGGGAGATCGTTTTATTTTCCTAAGTGGCATATCATTCACATTTTCTTGGAAATCCATTGGTGTATATATTTCTGTAAATATTTATAATTTAAACTCTGCCTTTTATTGCCAAAAGGTAATGAGGTGGCCCTTCTTTTACTCACATGTTTCCTGATGATATTATTTTAGTTCGAATACTTTAAAATGCATAAGGATGGATTTAACTTAATTGGCTAAAGCATCGGAGCATATAATACTATGGACTCAAGAAAAGTTGGTTCGAAGGGACGAAAGATGTCATTATGACTCATGGTCTTTCTCTATCTCTTTTTTCTTTTTTCCTCCATGCTTTGCCCTAGTACCAACAAACTCATATCTTCTCAGAGATATCTTTTCACCTATAGCTCCTACCATGTGCCAGGCAGTGCTGAGCAGGACAAACATCTCAGCTATCATGGTAGAGCTCAAAGATATCTCTGCTCAACCTGGTAGCTATCGTATCTTTTTTTCTTACCCAGTAACCAATCTTTCAGCTGTTTTAAATATTGAATAGTGATGAAGGAAGACATCTATGATGAAAGGATAAGGGAAGTTATAGAGAAGAACGAAAGTAACTGGGGAGTAAAATCAAGGAAAGTTGTTTTCAGTAGGCTCATTTTTGCTTAATGTTCCTTGAGGAGTGTTTAAAAGCCCTTTGCCATCAGGCTAAGCCGAAAACTGTTCTTCTCTTCCCTGACTCTTTTTCTTTTGCTTCTTATTTATCTGACCTTTATTGTACCTGAAAGAAAATGTGAAGGAGTATTTTATCACAATTTAAGACTTAGGGACTATTTCTGATGAGAACAAAAGCAAAGCATAAAGACTTTCCATATTTTATATACGTCATCATCATTCTACAGCATAGCCACAAGACTTCCTGGTCATTGCTGTCTTCTAGTTTTGTGTCTCCTAAATTGAGAGATAAGTGATAAGACATATAGTAAGGCACCTAGTAAAGAAGGCACATTAAATTGATACCTATTGACAGTTTCCTGTGGAGCCCTGATGATGATGTGAAAGAGGATGAGAAAGTATTGGTAAATTTCAGAAAACCGAACTCTAAGGAACTCTAACAGCTAAGCAAAATGATATTTGAAATGTAAATATTTTTCACAATTCTATTTCAAGTGACAAAAAAAAGAAAACCTATACTTTTTCAAGCATTCTTTTTATCAGGTTTTTAAAAATTTTAGATTATATATGATTTATGTACTAATACTTTGAGTTTGGCTGATATTTATAAAAAATAGCGCAGTGTTTTGGTGTAAATGTAAAGTGGCTATTAAATAGAGAACATATTTTAATTTTTCTTTTTATTTTACCTTGCCCTTTTAAGATTCCCTCATATTTAATTCAGATTCAACTATTGTCGTATGTTTAGTTGATAGGGTCTGATTCACATTATCTCCCTAGTGAATGGAGGCACCAAGAGTGACTGGGGAACTGCAAAGCAAAGCTATTAAATTTATATTTACTGCTAATCATTTCAACTCCTGGCAGGCAGCCTAATTGCAAGCACAAAGAGGATGTTCATGAGAATCATGGTCGTATAACTTGTTCAGTGACTCTCAGTAAGACACATGGTTTGTGAAAGCTCCAGGTTTATTGGGAGAGTAAATATTATTGCAGCTTGAGTTTCCTTGTGCTGTTTCCAACTCAGGATTTATTAAATATAATTTAATGAAATATATAATTTAAAAAGATGGGGCAAAAATGTGATTACTATCTTCCCATCCTGTCTTTTTGGGACAGGCAGCAATGCATAAGCTCCTTAAAAGACCAAAAACTAATCTAGGGGTTTTTCTATGCATAGTTTCCATTAATGTTAATGGCTTTTTCTGGGCACAGTTTCTGTTAATGTTAATGAGATGTTCTCTTGAAGAAAAGGGACGAAAAAAGAAAAGAAAACTGTTCTCTATTTATTTGCTTCAAGTATTTTCTGACGTAGGCTTAGAATGAATGTGTAATAATAAAGTACACTGATTCCAAAGACAGAAAATTATTCACCTCCTATTTTTGCTTCTATTATATCTTACTTGCTTTTTTAAATTTTTTTTTGTAAATCCATAGGAAATATGATGACTATATCAGTTATATTAGCAGTACCAATTATTTTTCTCAACCAAAAATCTCCATTACATTTAGTATGTTCCAATATGATTATTTTTTATCTGCTGAATTTTACCTGTACCCACGACTTAAACAGAGTGCCTGTTATAATGATGGAGCAATAGTTAAATATTAAGAGAAGGTGAATTATAGCCAGAAAAAAAAGATAGGAAAGGTGTTTTTCTTGACATTTATTCAGGGTCAGTCAAACACACCTGCAGCAGAAAGAGCAATGTTCTAATATGCGCTGCATGCCTAATATCTCAATTTCTGTATTAAAATTGTATGCCGAAAAGGGTGTATGTTTAAAATCCTGCCTAGTGGCAGCATTTTAATTCAGTCCTGGTGCCAAAATGGATGAAATACGTTTTTATTTCTAAGACTGTAATTTTTTCTTTCCTGCTATTGTTCTGCTTCGTTCTGTTCCTATGATCCATTGAATAAAACAGCATATTTCCTAATGGAGTAAACAGGTCACGTATAAGTTACTCATAATTTTCCAAAAACAAAAACTATCTTTTGCTCAAAAATCTTAGTTAGGTTATACCACAGGAAAGTGCAGCAAAATGATGAATAGTTTCAACTCCTGCAAAAAGGCAACCTCCAAAAAATATGCAGGTTCTCTCATATTACCCACATATGAGTGTGGGCATATGTGTATGCATGTTAAACTCTATGGGAATTTTTCATTTTCTTTTCCTTAATTTTCTTTATTGCTAATCTCTATCCCATCTACAACTTGGTATTCATGTCCCAAGATCAGCATACAAATGAGAATTTCATTAACTTTAAAGCTTAACTGTAACCAAAAATATTAATATTAAAGCCAAGATCTTAATGTTTTTATGGAAGGAAACGTGATTTATCTTTGCTCTCTTGTCACCGGGTTGTGCCATTTTCATCTGTCTTTTCAGTTTCTGGCTCAGTTTGAAAAAAATTCTTGAAAAAGAAATAGCTAGGTTGCTGTTATCCCCAGGATTTCATATCCTGTTGGGCCCTGTTTTTGGTACAAAGCCAGATGTGTAATCTTATATGCTTAAAGGCACATAAGAGGGAAAACTCTGGAAATACATTTCTGTGTTACTAAGAGACTGAATTAAAACAACAACAACAGCAACAACGACAAAGATTATATAGATTGTATTCAAATGTGCCAATTTTTACATTCAAATGCTACTTCTGAAATTTAGGACTACTGAGAAGTAACATTGTGATTTCATAGGTAATGTAGCTGCAACATTTTCTACATATCAATAATTGATTATAGGACCATTACAGTTACTGTTATTGTGCTCAGTGTTCAGAATATAAAGGATTAGAGACAGTTCCAAAACAATAAATTAATAATTTACTATTTCAAGGAGTAGTCAGAACTCATTTTCTGTTGTTACTCATGTACGTACATGTATATGTTTGTATACATATTACTTACATACATATCTATGTTTGTATATATATGCAAATGAGTTCTGACTATTCCTTGAAATAATTATTAATAAATGTATGATGAATTATAAATCAATGTATTTATAAACTCAAAGGGGCTAAAGAACTTCTAGAAGCTAAGGTCACAGCAGGAGGAACTGGGATCTCTGAGGACCATTTTAAGACTAAAGATGTGGTAGTGAGAAGAAAAGATATATTTTAAACATTTAAGTTATGGTTGGTATATATTTACTGATGAAATTATTTTTAAATAATAGTGTAAAAGTTAAATTCTTAAATGATTTTACTTCTAAGGCATTCTAGAAAAGTCAAAATTGCAGGGAGGTAAGTCTGATGAATGATTGTCAGGGGTTGGGGTGGAGGAAGGGAACTGAGCACAGCAGGGCACAATGGAAGTTTTGGGGGTGATGGAAATATTTTATATGTTGCTGCTATGGTGAATACAACTGTATGCATTTGTAATAATCACCAAACTGGATACTTTAACATTTTATGGTTCTATTATTTTGGTCTGGTTCTACGTATTAACAATGGGAAAAAGTAGGCTTTCTTGAGAAGTCACTAGAATCTATAATGAAATATCGTATGTGATATGAAAAATGATGTTCAGAGTTCTAGACAACTTAAGTATAAAATAACTTTCAAATTTGACTCAGTCTCAATTCCCTGCTTAAGACAAGTCCTGACTACCAGGAGTCTAGAATTTAATTAGGTAAATAATGTATTCAATATTCTTATTAAGGTGAACAGTAACCATCAATGTCAATTCTCAGTCTTCATATTCATGGACTACAAGCAGCATTTTATATCGTTGATCATTCCCTCCTCAGCAAAACACTTGTTCACTTGACTTCTAGAGCTATACACTTTCCTGGGTTTTCTTCTGTTTTTCCTGTTCTTTCTCCTTGGTCTCCTTCTCTGGTTCTTCCTCAATACCCTGAGAGCTCAGGTCTGGGCCTCTTCCTTTTTCTATTTATAGCCACTCCCCTGGATATCCCATTCTCTCTCACGGCTTTTAATACCATCTGTATGTGATACGTCCACATTTTACTTTTATATTCTAAACTCACATCCCCTTTTTATTACCTGATTTTATACAAATTTTGGTTGTCAACAATTAATCTGATATTCCTTTCAAAATTTACTCCTTCCACAATATCCATCTGAAGGGATAGCAATTCATACTGCCTGTTGCCTTTTCCAAAAACCTTGAAATCATCTTGAGTTCAAGGTGCAGTTCCTTCATCCTGCATCTCACATCCAATCTATCAGTAAATCTCATTGCCTCTACCATAATGTGCTTGATTATAATTAAAATTCAATAAAGTTTAATCACTTCATAGTATTTCAATAGTCTGCTAATTGTTCTCTGAACTTGTGTTTTAGATGCTTTTCAACCTATTCCCAAAGACTCTGAGAATGAGCTTTTTAAAACCCTAAATCAGACTGTGTCAATTATCTGTTCAAAACCTTCTAATGAGTACCTATCTTCCCCAGAGTAAAATCCAAAAGTTTACCATTGACTGCACCCCTCACACACTTTAACCCTTATTTACTTTCCTCCAACCACATGACCCATTTGCTCCAACCAAATACCATGTTTGCTTTCACCTCCAAGCCTTTCTATGTAGTCTTTCCTTGCCCTGAATGCTTTTTTCCCAGACATTAACATGGTTCGTTACCTCCTTTCATCTTTACAAGTTCACCTTTCTAGTGAGGCTTTCTCTGTCCACTCTTTCAGTGCCACCTGCTCACTTCTTTTACCTCTCTCTCACATTATATATTTCATTCACTTATTGAAGTTATTTTCTGTTCCTCCATTGTAGAATTAAAGCTACAGGAGGGCAGAGGTTTTTGTCTGTTTGTTTCACTACTGTATCCCTGGCATTTAGAAAAGTGCCTGGCATATCAAAGGTACTCATTGGTAAATGTAAGTTGAAATAAATGTAATTACATTTTAAATTTACTACTAATAAATTGAGTATTATAGATACTTTAGTATCTATCGCTCTAGCAAACAGAGAGAAGACAAATTTTTCTGGGCTTAATTGCTTAGGAAAGATTCAATGAAACCAAATTAGCCTTGTATCTACCATGTAGAAGGTTTTCAATAGATGTGCTAGACAAATGAGTGAATAAATGAATTCCTCTAATATACCTGTATTGAAAGCTGGGAATCGCATAACTAGGCCTGATTACTTGATAATTTATTGTGTATTTGGAGCATTTGGAAAAAAGTATAGCAAGAATACACTCGTTCCCATTTTTGAAAAGAAAAGTCAGATTTCTCAAGGAACATGTGTTAATGGATGCTACCTCTGGGAGCTGGAAATGAGTCTTTGTGCTAGCAAGGGTTATGGAACACACTGAGACAAGCAGCCTGCTGCTAGGTGTTTCTATGCACACTTCTTCCATGTGAGGAGGTGATGTCAGATGAGACTGAAATGTCTTCACAACCGCCAAACAAAGAACAAAGCCCCATGTTTTGTGAAAACAGCAAGTGGGGATAGGGTTACCATGCACTTTTGTGATCTCTCCCATATAGGCCACAGGAAAGAGGGCTTCTGGCCAGTCAGCTTGAGTTAATTAGAGTAGTCAAGGGTTAAGCATTACTTTGGACCTCATTAATACAGCTCCTTAGGGAGAAATTTTTGTTTGGAAAAATTAGCCTTTGCTTTCAAGAGCACTGAAAAGACATCTTTCAGCCTCTGGTGAGGATCTCAGTTTCTCCCTTATCACCTCTGGTAACAGAAGAGAAGGTACTTTTGATTCATTGTCACATTCAGATAAGTGAAGAAAGATGCTTTTCAACAAGTGTGAATAGATTTTGGTAAACAAATGGAATTTTTTTTTTGAAGGGATATTTAAACAGCAAGTGTATCTGCTGTACTGCAGCTTGTCTGCCTAGACTTGAAGAACTGCCTTTAGTTGTATTCAGCATATGTTATCACCAAACAGACTTTTTATGAAAACGCAGTAACTATACTACTTTCTCTTGAAATATATTTTTGTACATGAGGAGATTCTCTGAAGAAAATTGCCTTTGCAGGTTTTGTTTATTTAGTATGTCCTTCTCCCTTGCGGTTGTATGCTGTTTCATATTACACTGTAAATAACCCATAGCTTTATTGACCTCTAGTCATCTTGAGGAAAGTTCTATTTTGTATGGTTTACTTTAGATTTGCTGTAAGTACATCAATGATTCAATCTCGCTAATCCTTAATAACAAAGTACTAGGATGTTTTCTTCCAATAACAAAATACTAGGATGTTTTCTTCCATACTAATCAAAAGAGTCATAGTCTATATCCCACAGTTTTGTATCTTACTCTATGTTCTCCTGGTTGAAAGACTTTTATTGTGAGCCTTCAATGTAGTGTATAAGGTACAGTTGTTCCTCCAAGGATTGGTTCCAGAAACATTCCCCTGCACACAGACACACAACAAAATCCATAGTGTTGATATTTAAGTCCCTTATATAAAATGGAGTAGTGTTTGCACATCACTTACATACATCCTCTGGCAGATGTGGAACCCACAGATTACAGAGTTCTACCACTGACTAGCTGTGTGATCATTGTTCTTTGTGCCTTAGTTTCATCATATGTAAAATGGAGTTTATTATTCTACCTACTTTTTAAAGTAATTGTAAGGATTAAATGAGGTGAAATAAGGCTGGGCGCAGTGGGCAGTGGCTCATGCCTATAATCCCAGCACTTTGGGAGGCTGAGGCAGGCGGATCTTAAGGTCAGGAGTTCGAGACCAGCCTGGCCAACATGGCGAAACCCGGTCTCCACTAAAAATACAAAAAATTAGCTAGGTTTGGTGGCACACCTCTAATCCCAGCTACTTGGGAGGCTGAGGCAGGAGAATCGCTTGAACCCGGAGGCAGAGGTTGCAGTCAGCTGACATCGTGCCACTGCACTCCAGCCTCAGTGACAGAGTAGGAGTCGGTCTCAAAAAATAAACAAAAAAACAGACGAGATAACTAAAGTGCTTAAAACATTGTCTGGCATATTGTAAGTGCTTAGTGAATAATAAATCCTGTTAGTATCGCACTCTAAGTTCAAGTATCAGCAATTAAAGCCACATTTAGTCAACAGATCTCATCAAATGATCAGTAAGTAACTTACTCAAAATTCCCTTAAAATGCTTTAGTGGAAATATAACTTTTGTGGCATCAGTTGTTGCCACAGTAAGGACAGAATAAGTGAGAGGTTTTGTTTAATAATATGTGAAAAGATTAAATTTTAATAACTTAACCGGTATGTATTATAGTAAATTCCAGAAAGATGACAATATTTAATAAATAGAGACTAAGTACTATTATCAAATCAGTAAAGGTCAATGACTTAATTTTTATACTTTAATGAAATATATATCTATATTTAAACAACAATCTAAGACTGTGGGAATGGATGTTTGTACTTTCATTTCCTGTTGTAGATAGATGCGTCTCCATTGCATAGCACATTGCCTATTTTGAAAAGTAATTATTTTTAAAAAGTTTTGAAGATGAAGTTACATTAATGTGTTTATCCCTAAAAATAAACTATAAATAGTATTCTGATCAATACTTTGCAAATATCTTGTTTCTGGGCCTAAGGTCTACTTTTTGCCTGAGAATATATGCATTCATTTATGTGTGTGTGCATGTGTGCATGTTGGTGTGTGTGCATACGTATGTATTTGGAACTTAGTCCTTGAACATTTTTTTGGAGTTCCCTAGTCATATTTTATAAAGGTGTATATAGTACCATTTTTTAAAATTTTAATTTTATATTGATATTTTCCTCTACCTTATATATGTTTTCTTTGAAAGCATTGCATTGAAATGAGATTGCACTTATATGAGAAACAAAGTGAATAATTACAAGTATAATATTAAATTGCCTTTTAATTTGCCTTTTTATTATTGGCTTTTTGATTAACAATAGAGCAAGAATCTGTTAACAGCTGCTCCAAGCAGAACATTTGCTGAAGTCCAGAACAACTAATTGGGTACACGTGTTAAAACTATCACAGGCTCCTTCTTCCACTGAACCAAAAACATGGCTTAACATTTTTCTAAAAACAAACCCATGAGAGAGACTTTTTACAATACTTATGGGAATGCTTTTTTTGGTATCCTTCTTCTTGAATACTGTTGGGAAAAAAAATTAAGAGCAAAACTGAAATATAAAAATGACTGGAGTAAATATAGGAGAATGGCACTAAAACAGATAGTTTAGGTGTGGCAGTTTCAAAGACTGATGGGTGAACCGGGAGGCTTTATATACATCCGTATCTTAAGTTCCTTTTGCCTTGTTAGCAGAATTAGGATTTTAAAACAAAATCTCTTAAGCTAGGATTACACTTTTTTAGTATATTTTTCACTCAACCTGGAAGAAACATTTTTCACATATTACATTCAAATGATAGTTTTTTTTTTTTTCTTTTTTAATGAACCTTTTCTTTCAACCCTTCCCTGTTTACAGTAAGGTTTTGCATCTCCCTAATCCCTGCCGCGGGGCTTTAGACATGACAAAGAAAGCTCTGATGAAAGACAAAGGAAAACTTGCAATTTTATTTCTTTTAGGACATTTTAGAAGAATCTATATCCACACTTACGTATCTCCTTACATTTTCCAAATAAAAAAGACCCTAAGGTGTTTACTTTGTGGGGAGCATTTGGCAGGAAATGTGTCCCATAAGAAAGTGAATAAATTTCTATTGTTTACATTCTTTTCTTAAAATTATTTTTAAAAGATTTTCAATATACCTAGCCTTCCAAAAGATAAAGACACATAATGGTAAGACATTCTGGCAAAGCGTAAACTAGACAAAAGTTGATGCAGTGGCTATGTCAGGATTAAATTCCCGTATGTTAATTTTCAACTTAAGATGTGGAGAGATTTTAACTTGGATCAAGTGAGCAGCACAAAGCTCTTACAGAGACGTGAGGAATCTGTTCTAGTCTACTGGCCAATGTAAATGTAAAGCTTTATCAGCAATTCTGTAATACCAACCGAAAAAAAAAAAAAGACAGGTTAACACACAGGTATTGTGCCTTTTGAGATGCACAGAATTTTTCCCAAACAAAAATAAACCTGGCTTTAAACTCTAACTTACATGCAACAAAATCCTTCCTGCTGGTGAATTAAAATGTATTCCAGACTTATGTTAGAAGAAGGCTAAAATTGACATCTGTCCTAGACTATGTCACTGTCCAATCCACAGCTGATGGCAGCTAAATCTGAAAATCTGACTGCTTCAATTGCCACTAAGTCCATAGGAACGCCCCAGATTTCTTGAGCCTAGTACCACAGTAGTTCATTACTATAGTTTTCAAAGGTATTTTTAGTGCCTGCTTTTGAATTTAAAGGAAGTAAAATCAAACACAGAGCCACACTCTCTTTTTTGTTGAGCTACTTACAAAAGCAAAATAAAGGAAAACTTTATTTTGGAGAAATACTCTTTTGTTATAATCTTCCTCTAGCTGAAACACACACCAATTAGAATGTCATAGTCAAACTGCTATTCCAATTTTGTCTAAAGAAAAAAAAAAGAAAACACTTATGAAACCAGGAGACAGAGAAATTTCATATAATTTACATTCAAATTATTTAAAGATTTTTAAAAGACTGACCCTATCCACGAATCTTCCCCATACATTATAACCTTGCTACTTAAGGTGTTAACCTGCAGACTGGCGGCATCAGCATCACCTGGGAGCTTGTGAGGAATGCAGACTCTTAGGCCCACTCCAGATCTACTGAATCAGATTCTATATTTTTACAAGATTCCCAGAAGACATGCAAGCTGTTTTACATTGGAGAATTTCTTCCTTACAATCCTGCTTTTTAGTATTCTTACTAACGGACACATTCTGTTAAGTACAACGTTAAGATCTTACTTTTGTATTTTCTCCTAAACACCTTTACCTTCACATTCATTTGCTAAACCATAATCACATTCATCTTGAAGAGGACATAGTTCTTACAATAGAAGGAAGAAAACCTAGGTCTTTATTTAATTTATTTCCAGCATAGACATAGAACAAAAATTCTGCCAATGCTGGAGAGTCTAGACAATATCATAAAAAAAGTAATTACATTAAATTTTTCAGCAATAGAGGCCGTGGGCCAATTCTAGTAATTTTTCACTCTAGAAATGCTAGTGAATCTATCTTATATATTTTTGTCACATTCTTGTCAAAATTTACAGTTGGTTGTTTTTTTTTTTTTCTGACAGCCTGAGGCTTTATGATTTGGCTCACTGAATCGGTGAGAAGTACTCATTGAAACTCTTCTATGGCTGTGTAAAGACATACACACTAGTCAGTTGCTTAAAATACTATCTAAAGAAGATTGTTCTTTTTTGAGGCACATAACAAGAAATGATTTTTGCTAGAAGGTGTATTCATTTAATACTTGTTCTTCTAATCCATCTTTACCTTGGTGTTTGTCTATTCTGTATTATAGGCTTTATTAAAAACATATTTTTAAACACTGCCTTCTACCTTTCAGGCTCAAATATATGCTGCACACAAATGCTTATATTGCTTACTCACAGTTTATGACTGTATTTAAATTATGGATTGAGGAGAAGGGTGTGGAAAATCCCTCTCAGGTCTCTTTATTACCCATTCTCCTTATTCATCTCTGGGTTAAATAATCTTCATGGGAACATGTAATAATTTTGTAATTCAAAAGTTGCTGTTATTTTGCACAACACTCTGGGGATCTTGCCGACTTAAAGGAACTCAATAAATCTAATACATGTTTATTATTTTATGGCCCTCAATTTTCAACATGAAAGCAGAAGGATATGGGCTGAAAATGTTTTAACATATGTCTACTTTCAGTTCTGATTTTCTTGTCTAAACAGATTCTGATACAAACAATCATAATCAAACATTCTGAAAATATCTACTTCTCCCTTTATCCCCAAGGCTTTTCATGCATAGACACATTAAACACATGTGCACAGAGGCAATTTTCTGTTATTTTTGTAACTCAGTTAAGAAAACCATGAAAAAAGTTAGCTCCCTGTAACACCCCACTACCTCTTTCCATTAATACCAGGAAGGTGCAGGGATTTTTAAGTCATTTTTAGTTGGTCGCATCTCAGGAAAACAGCAGCATCAAGTCAGAAATGCTTAAGAAAAACCACCCTGTTTTCAATGGCAGTAGTTAAAGTCCAGTATTTGAGAAGGGGTTACGTCATTCATAGTGCAAGTTTTGTTTGTTTGTTTTTTAAATGTTAACTTGATTTGCATGAAAATGTTTTAAATTGACAGTGTCACAGAGCTGTGTTGGGGAAGGAAGATTTTGCCTATTCCTCAGAAGAAGAGATGTGGGGAAGAGGTAGAGTTTTTTCTTGCTTTCTGGAACCCCCACATCTGTATATGTTCAGATCTTCCTGTTATACATATGCAAAGCAACTTTGGTAACTTACTTTGAGAATGCCTTGGAAGGGTCCCTTTTTAAGCAGAGAGCTGACCCCATCGACATTTCCAGAGAGTTCAGGAAATGCTTTTGAGGACTAATTTTTGGCTCTGGTGTTTAAACATATGATTCATTTTCATTGCAAATCTTTTCTTTTCCCCACCTCTTCTCCAAGCCTAGATGGAGGCTTTAATTGATAACGTGTTGTGTTTCTTACTGCTGACTCAACACTTCAGGTTGTATCTCTAATTAGCCCTATGAGGTTCAGATAATAACTTTAACTTTAGTGAGTTTTCCCAGCTTCCCAAAGTCATTTATTAGGGCCTGCAATACCATGTCATAAATCTTTCTGATAAACTTCAATTGCTGTAGATAAGCCAGTGGAAGATCAACAAAAATTGCGTAGCTCTTTAAAAAAACTCCGGCTATAGGTGCAAGAAATTACTCCTTCAGCCTGCCATGTTTTGCTGTTTGCCTTGTATTAAAATTTGTTAGTCACAATTAAAAAAAGAGGTCGAGCCTTAGGATAATTTCAATCTATGTCTTCAGACATATTTAGAAAGGTTCAATAATCAATTAGGGAAGAAATATGACTACTAGTATTAAAAAGATAGCAAATATAATTGCTTAGCCCCAAGACTGATCCTATGAAAAATTACTTCTCCTTAATAAGTCTTCTTAAAAAGACAGACTGCTTATAAATTGAATATAAACATACATATGTACATGATTCTTATGTAACAGAAAGACTGTTGCCTCTGTTCACATTGGAGATAGACTAGTAGTGTTGAAGAAATATTAAATAAAAATAAGTGAATCATAAAACTGTCATAGATTGCAAAGTTTCCAGAAGTTAATCAGACTTCTCCCACCTGGACTTCTCTTTCTGTTGCTTTTGTCCAACTGAATTTTTATTTTTTTTCTTTTCCCAAGACTGGAAGTATAGGATATTGGTGAACCTCAGCTGTGCAGTTGGACAGGACTGGGTTCGTATCTCACTTATACCCCTCACTGGTTCTGTGACCTTGAGGAAGTTATTCACCATAATAAGTTTCAAGCCATTTACAAAATAGAGATAATAATAGTATTTCCTTTATTAGTTTGTTGTGGATATTAAATGAGAAAGTACATATACATTGTTTCGATCATTCCAAAATCAGTTTGTGCTGAAGAAACATTGATTCCTGTTGGTATTACGTAATCTCGGGTAAACTCCTGAGTACCCCCAGAAATTTGTTTCTTCTGTGGTCCTACTGTACTTCTAAACAAAGTTTTAATCAGCTTTCTTTGGTATATAAAATATGTATTATTATATATATGTGTGTGTGTGTATATATATATATATATATATATACACATAACATATATATGTTTTTTTGTAAGTTTTATTCTTTAGAGTAGTTTTAGGTTCACAAAAAAAAAAAATTGAGCGAAATTACAAAGATTTTCCAAATACTCTCTGCTCCTACACATGCACAGTCTCCCCACCATCAACATCCCTCACTAGAGTGGTAATTTGTTATAATCGATGAACCTACATTGGTGCATCATTATCACACAAAGTCCATAGTTTACGTTAGGGTTTACTCCTGGTGTTCATTCTGTGGGTTTTGGCAAATGTATAATGACTAGTACTAACCATTATAATATCACACGGAGTACATTCATTGCCCTAAAAATCCTCTGTACTCTACCTATTCATCCCTCTCTCCCCACTAGATCCTGGCAACCAATGTGTTCTTTTATGTCTCTATAGTTTATCCTTTTCCAGAATGTCACACAGTTGAAATCATACAGTGTGTAGGCTTCTCAGATTAGTTTCTTTAGCTTAGTATAATAATATGCATTTAAGACTTCCCCATGTTTTTTCATGGCTTGATAGCCCATTTCTTTTAGCACTGAATGATATTCCATTGCTTGGATGTACCACAGTTTATTTATTCATTCACCTACTGAAGGACATCTTGGTTGCCTATAAGTTTTGGCAATTTTGAATAAAGCTGCTATAAACATCCATGTACAGATTATTGTGTGGACATAAATTCTCAGCTCTTCTGGTTAAATACCAAGGAGTTCAGTTGCTGAATCATGTAGTAAGAGTATGTTTGATTTAGTAAGAAACTACTACAATGTCTTCCAAAGTAACTGTATTGCTTTGCATTTCCACTGACAATGAATGAGTTCCTGTTGCTCTACATTCTCACCAGCCTTTGGTGTTGTCAGTGTCCCAGGTTTTGGCCATTCTACTAGGTTTATAGTGGTGTATCACTGTAGTTTTAACTTGCAATTCCTTAATGATATATGATGCTATGTATCTTTCATGTATGTATTTGCCATTTGTATATCTCATTTTGGTAATTTCAGATATTTTGCCCATTTTTAAATCTATCTTGTTTTCTTTTTGTTGAGTTTCAAGAGTTCTTTGTGTGGATCTCACAACTATTCTGGATCACAGCCCTTTATCAGATATATCTTTTGCAAATAGTTTCTCCCAGTCTGTGGTATATATTTTTTTACATCTGTAATTTTAGGGTTCAGTTTGTATATTACTTTTCACTGGTGTGTATATACTTGTATATATAGATCTTACCTTCCAAACAGGGAACAGACCCTTAGTTTGTTTTGTATCTTCTATAGCATCCCACATAGTCTCCTGTGTACATAGAGATACTCAATAAAAATTAACTGACCATTGAATGATTAGTGTTCAATAGAAGTCATTTCGATATAATAATAACTGAAACTTGGGAGTTTCATAGGAAGGCCCAAATCTAGTGGTGTCAGGCAAGATCTCATCTAAGTGATGTGATCCTCCTTCTGCCTCACTCACAGCCTTTTAAGGTGGATTATACGTGAGCATCAAAGATAAAGGGAGTCACAAAAGGATAGCCAAAATATTCCTCCTCTAGAATTGAACATACATTTTCCATATGCTTTTTACAGTTGAAGGGGTTGTAGATAGATCAACTGTATAAATAGCGTTGGTCATTAGATTATGGAACAGATGTCTCAGAAAAAGGCAGTTTATGGTTAATCCTTTTCCTACAAAGGTGAGTTATGGTTAATTATTTTCCTGGTACAGATTACAGAACTTCCATGGACAAAAAATACTGTAGCAATAGAGAAAAGCAGATATTAATTCATTCAAAAGTATTTTTCAGTGTCTAGTATGTATTAAGGAATTGCAAGGTAGCCAGAGGTCAATTTGACATGGAGTGCTCAAAAAGCTTTATAGTCCTGCAAGGCAGAAGAGACACATGCACAAATAATTATGATGCATGGTAAATATTTATGTGCAATAAGGATATACAAAATCAGGAGAGGAAGAAATTAATGATGGCTGCGGGAAAGGTAGTCATTGATTCATATAACAGACATTTATTAAGTACCTACTGTGATCCAGGTTTATGCCAGATGATAGGGATTGAAGGATGTGTTGCAAAAATGCCATACCTTCAAGATCGTCACTGAGCAGGAATCAAATCTAGGGGTAATGAGGGCTTCAGAAGAAGAGGTCACATTTTGACTTGGCATCAAAGGGAAGGTAGGGTTTGGATATTTGGAGATAATGAGCAATGAGAGGGGAGGCACATTCCAAATGTTGGCAACAGAAATGGCATAGGCACCAGATGTCTTGTGTTCCAAAAAGCAAAGAGTTTGTCATTTTCTGATTTCTTTTGATGATCATTTTATATCTAGAATAGTATAATTAATATATTAATAGATTATATTTATTGAGTACTTAATTTGATAAAGATATTATTTTAAACATTTTATTTTTTTAATCTTATGTAATTCTTCCTTGACCTCTGAGGCAGGTATGAATTTTATGCTGCATTTTAGTAAAGGAAACAGTGGCTTGCCCCACATGGGCCTGGGACACACCCCCAGACACATTTGACTCTGAGTCTTACACTGCATACCAAAGCCATGAAACAGCCCTTGCACCCTCATGGAATCCTATCTCCATCTAAAAGTTCACAACTCAAAATATTTTAAAAGTGTATTTCAAAGGATGCCTGCAAAACCAAAAATAATTTGAGTGAGAGAGAGCGAGAATGCACTGAGCCAGTAAATGTGGACTCATCAAGACTAAAGTCGGAATAAGCAGACTTGTGTAACACGGATTTGTCTCTGTCTACCGGAGAAGGCTGAACAACGAAGGGACCAGCTTCAGTAAGATGGTGTAATGACAGATGAAGAGAGAAACCTGGATTGTTTGCCTCCTATGTAAATTTCATCTTCTCCATTAAGCATAGTGATACAGTAGCAGGGGTAATAAGGACCCAAGGGAGTTTAAGCCCAAGATAAAGTGTTTTGCACAGCAGAGGTAGGAGTATTTTGGATGAAGAAAAAGGTTTAAGCAAAGGCAACACAGATGGGAGATCTGGAGGGGGTGGTTAAAGTCCTATAATTGCATTTTCAAATCCACAAGAATAAGTACAGGGAGATATCTAGCTAATACATAATGTGCAAAGGTCTGAGAATTTTAGTTTGCTAAAAGCTGAGATCATCAACTAGTGAGTGCAGCTATTAAAGGAAAAAAAAAAACTCAGACAATTTTGATGGAAAAGTGGTGCCCTAATTAAGAAACATATTACACTGTTGAGTACCCATTTTATATCTTACGGTTTGGTACCCATCTTACACGTTGCATTGAAGTTAGTGTATTGTGCTAAGGTCCATTAGCATCTAAGCTTATTAACAAACTAGATAGCTGAAAGGTGAATGGTTATAAAAACTTTAAGGATTGATAGTTAAAGAATGGAAGGTGATTTTTCCAGCAGAAAACCTGGGCTGACTGTGGGGAAAATGTGGCCTAATAACTGTTTTTAAATATTCAAAGGGCTGTGATTTGGCAAGAGGGTGCAGATTACACTAAAATGATCCATAGTGCAGACCCATGAGAGTAACTTTTTTTTTTCTTTTTTTTGAGACAGAGTGTCACTCTGTCACCCAGGCTGGAATTCAGTGGGGCGATCTTGGCTCACTGCAACCTCTGCCTCACAGGCTATAGCTATTCTCCTGCTTCAGTCCCCAGAGTAGCTGGAATTACAGGTGCATACCACCAGGCCCTGCTAATTTTTGTATTTTTAGTAGAGAAGGGGTTTCACCGTGTTGGCCAGGCGGTCTCACTCCTGACCTCAAGTGATCTGCCCGCCTCAACCTCCAAAAGTGCTGGGATTACGGGAGTGACCACCATGCCGCATGAGAGTAACTTTCAATTCAAAAGGATTTTAATAATGAATAGGCTGCTTTGAGAACTAATAACATCACTGGCATGTTTCAAGTTGAACTTAAGTGACCCTTTGTCAGAGATATTTTTAGAAGGGCTTCTGTTATCACATGAGAGTTTGGGCCTAAGATCACTTCCCAATTCTAAGAATTTTGTTATTTTACTATTCAGTATTTTAAGAGTCATTGGCAAATTATCATTTCTTTCGCTAGTTGCCCCCAGTGTATCACGGGACAATCTAAAATAACGGGCCAAGAGAAATCTTAAAATTTCCTGTTTATCGTCTCCAAAATGAACCCATTTGCACCTTAAAGTTTTAAATAATCAAATAAAAAAGATGAAAATAAAGTATTATAACTAATGAGGATTAAGTCATAAGTCTGAAAGAGAAGAAATGAGATGCAAAGGATGTTGACATTATTTGATTTTTTTCTAAAAGGAAACTCAGTTTATGGGCATTCTCTTAAACTTTCAATAGGGGAACAATAGAAAAATTTTATAACTAATAATGTGAAGTACTGAAATACATGTTGTGTAGTCTAAATTAAAACCTAGGGGGAAAATATTTAATCAGTTCTGTTGTTGAATTCTATTTGGTAACCACTATTATCCAATAATGGAGAAAAAAGACAAAAAGAAGTGCTAGAATTGGCCCCTCCATTTATGTGCTATCAATTTTTTATTGTCTAGGACTTATTAATTTGCACGCACATACGCACACACACCCCACATATAAAGTTGGAAAAAGAATTTGACTTGAAATTATTTTTTATTTTGAAGGTTGTATAAACTAATGCTTTGCTTTCTCAACATTCTTTCTTTCTTTTTTTTTTTTTTTTTTTTTGAGACAGAGTCTCACTCTGTCGCCCAGGCTGGAGTGCGGTGGCGCGATCTCAGCTCACTGCAAGCTCCGCCTCCCGGCTTCACGCCATTCTCTTGCCTCAGCCTCCCGAGCAGCTGGGACTACAGGCACCTGCCACGACACCCGGCTATTTTTTTTTGTATTTTTAGTAGAGACGCGGTTTCACCGTGTTAGACAGGATGGTCTCGATTTCCTGACCTCGTGATCTGCCCACCTCAGCCTCCCAAAGTGCTGGGATTACAGGCCTGAGCCACCGCGCCCGGCCAACATTCTTTATTTCTAAGTGAGGAGGGAGGGATAGCTGATGTTCTCTTGGTTATGGCTATTGCTTTTCCCTGTGTCCTACTTGTTTCTTGCATTACACATTGGCCTTAGGTTGACAGGAAGGATAAGAGACTCCCTTATTCCCATGCCATCTTCATTATGCATAATAAAGTTTCCTCTTACATAGTAAACATAGACTTGTGTTAACAATTTCAACATTATGGGAGTATAATTGCATAAAAATCGAAACCATTGTCAATATAATCACACAGAATATATTCTTACTTTGTGTTCTAGACCGTCTTTATTTTTTGGTATGTTATATACAGCAGAAACCGAGGAAACATCATTTTGTGTGACATCAATAAATAAAAATAAACCCACTCTACAAATAAACGTGAAAGATTGCTCTCTGGATACATTTATACTATCTAAATATAGTACCCTGGCCTCAACCAAAGTGAAGGTAGCTGCAATTTTGAAGGAAAACATCAGCTGTGAAAATAGGGTATTCACCAGTCTCTACTGCAGTAATTGCTGTCAAGACATCTCAGCATCCCAGAACAAGCCAGATTTGGTTGTTTTCTTTTTCTTTTCATTTGTTTCTTTTTTTTTTTAAGGATCCTTTAAAACGTGTCAGTGTCTAATAGTACAATAAACCCAAGAGAACCCCGCAAACTGATAAACAATTTTAGATCTCAAAAAAGACAGGAAGAGTATGCTATTTTAAAGTCAAAGCAATGCCATTTCTGTGGGGTTTTTTTGGCTAAATTTTCAATTTGTGGCTGAGCAGTGATTATCACAAATTGAACCATTATGAATTAAAATATATTGCAATATAGAAAATTGAGAAGGCAACTGAAAATAAAATAGAATTACAGAACCAGAAAGGATGATCTAGAAAAAGATGAACTAAATGAGGAAAGTAAAGCAAGAGAGAGGAGTTATGTAATTTGTTCAAGATTACAAATATAGTTAGAGACAAAAATTGCAGTACTCTTGTTTCGCAGACTGCCATTGTTCATTCTTTCCATTATGGACATTTTCTAACACAAAGAAAATAACATAATAATTTTTAATGTATCCATCACACAGAGTCTATATTTAGAAACACTTGCCAAAAAATTATATAGTTTCATTAAACTCACATTTTAATTCTTTATTCCAAAACATTTTGCTCAATATCTTTGCCACTCCTTATGAGAATGTATGCATTTATGTTTATCTTATTTTTAGAATGGTTTTCTGAAGGCTAGCTCTCTCATTTTATTTTAAATGGCTATATTTGCATCCAACAGTGTGGTTTCGGTTTACAGCAAGTAGTGTGTTTTTGTTTTCTTCTCTATCAATAATTTAAACTGTTATTTTTATTTCCTGTCATATTGCATTGATTGACATGTTTAAACCAACGCTAAGACCTATTGGTGACAATGTAAAACTGTTTTACTTCATTGGGAACGCTTTTAGTGTTAAGCATGATGTTGGCAGTTGGTTTGAGGTAGAAATAGTTTTATCATGCAACGGATTGTTCTAGTTTACCAAGTGATTTTTAAAAATATCTCAAAAATGCATAGTGAACTTAACAAATACCTTTATAGAATTTATCTTAGTATTTTGCTTTTTTCTCATTTGTCCTAATGATGCATGTTAATAGATTTCTCAATTTTGAAATATCTCAGAGTTTTTGACATACACTTTATCTGGCTTTATGTAGCATTTGAAGTAAAAAAGGACCAAGTTTGAGTCCTTAGGTTAACACAGTGACTGTGCAAATTTGTGCCACTTCTTTTTCTCTGTAAAATGATCTTAATAATGGTTACCTCAGAGTTGTAAAGCTAAAATCGGTTATTATATAAGCACCACAAAAGGACTGACTCATGGTAAATGGCAATATATGCAGCAGCCATCTTTATTATAGTGAGTTATGATTAAAATATACATTGGTCAATGGATTTGTGTGTGTGTGCTACATTTAATTGGCTTTTGTATAAGGAAGTTCTAATTTTATACATTTAGGAGGGATTGTAATTTTGTTTTAATTTTATGGAGTTAGAGGGGAGTTATACTTTTCTATATTCTGAAACAGATTTCATCACTGGTAATTATCTAGTTCTTGGATATTTTTCCAAAGGCAACATAAAACAGTAGTGGTTAAGAACACCTACTTTGGAGATAGACAGATCTGGATTCAAATCCTGATCCTTCAAATGTTAGTGGAGTGACTGTGAGCAAGTGACATTTTTATGACTCAGTTTCCTTACCTATTAAGTGAAGGTAATAATGGCATCTGTCTCACACAGAGTTAATATAAGAATTTAGTCAATATTTAGCAAACACTTGTTTTGTGACCATTATGAGCCAAATACTGTTCAGAGGTATATTTAAAAGACTAAATTGGGAACATAGCAAATGGTCATTGATAATTAGAACTTATTAGTATTACTATCAACATTATTATTAACTGAGACATAAACTATCTAGGCCAAGATACTTTTACGTTAGTAATTTCTGCAATTATTGTTGTAATAGTTTTATTAACTGCCTAATTAATCCGTTTCAGCTCTGTAACAATGTGTGAATATAACCAGGTACATAGCTGGGTAGTTTTTTTTTCTTACAATCCATTGATGTATCACATTTCTATTGTAGTACTTGGGTAAAAAAAAAAAATATATATATATATATATATGTAGTCTGGAATGTAGCATGTGACAATAATTGTGATGGGAGAGTAAACCTAAAAAAAGTAAGAAGTGGAAGAATAGTAATAATTTTAAACAGCCCCTAATAATCTCTTTAAAAATTTAAAAGATGGGTAGTGCAATAATGAATGAGAGTTTACCTGATACAATTTCCAGTTGAATAGTCTGAGAGGCAATATGGTGTCATTGAAAGTTCTAGTAGAGTTTTAGCAAGCAAGAGCATGAAAAGGGTCTTTTTTTTTTTTTTTTTAATGTATCAGAAGTAATGCATGTCCTTCCAAAGAATTAAGTTGGGTTAAAAGTAAGATATGCTCAGAAATAGATAAATTCAACAATACCTTTGAAAGGCTCAGCTAATCTGTATGTGGAATGCCGCAAGGCTCACCTTTCCATGTTGAAAAGTTATTTTAGGTGGTCATCAAGCTCTCTTTTTTGTGTATTTATTTGGAGAACTTAAGTATTGCCTGCTTTTGCCTTGATGCTCTATCAATGCTCAGATACTGTATGCATTAACCGTATATCTTCCATAATCAGTGCATTTTGGTGGTCTGTGCCAATGTCAACAGAGTAACTTGTTCAAAAAGCATTGAAATGGCTTAGCTCTTGTAACATAGATTGGAAACATTATGATGTTTAAGCTAAATGATGAGTAAATAATCCATTAAAAATGCTAAGCATGCATTTACATTTATGAGATACTTTGAAAGATTAAGTTTATAAATCTTTCTTGAAAAATCTTTCATAATTTCTTTTAGGGTTTTTTTTGCATAAAATAACTTGTGATCACAAAGTTTGAGACAGCTGATTAAAGTAGAAAATTGTATTATAATTACTTCAAAGTAATATGGAATAATTTAATTTTGACTAGGAAAGTTTATCAAAAGCTTAATGTTACCAAACCAAATTGTGCTAGGTTCACATTTGTTCATCTTGGCCCTAACTTAAATGTTTCCCACATCTCTTAGTCACCTGTCATTAAGTGTATTTGTTGGAGTTTGTGAACTAATCATAGGTTATTACTTGTTAATTGCTAATTGCAGTGCAACCAAAGCTGATATTAAATATTCTTCTCTCTTTTGTTCACATCAAAGCATATTCTTTGATTAAGGAGAAAGAGTTTTGGGGTTTTCTTTGGTTAATTTTTCAGGGCAGCACTGGTATAAGCTTTATGATTCCTTGCATTAAGCATTCATAAAACTCTCATTCTGGGGCAGCATCTTGGATATAATCATCCCAAATTAAAAGTTATCATTAAATGCTAGACCAATGCTTATAAGCTTGGGGAGAAAGAAAAGATGGTAATAATGTAGAGGTTGATTTCAAACAACTAAGATAAAAATAAAACAATTTAAATAATTACAAATTATAAGTAGAAAACTTGAAATATACATGGAAGGAGAGTAGAAAAGGGTCTAAGAAGTGGTCATTATGTTTTTAAGAGAGGGGTTAAATGGTAGAGAAACAAGATTAACATTAACATTTCTAATCATAATCTGAAATTGACTAAGAAAGTTGAAAAATTATAATAGAAAATTACTTCTAATGGATCAATTCATATTTTATATATCAGCAACTCCACCTATTATTTTTATTATTATGATAAAAGGAATAGTTAATGGTGGTTTATATGGTTCTTCTAAACCATATAAACTATGTATGTAATAGTACCATGCAGTGGCTTTTTTGATACAACCAAAGTGGCTACAAAATTCAGATCTATATTTACTTGGTTATTGATCATGACACATGGAACACCTGAGCTGCTGGTAAGTTATTACTATTTCTTTTTAAATATTAGGTTTATTACCTTTGGGAAACTACAACTAAATCTCTCATTTCCTTGCCTATTTCAGTCACAAATGTTATTTAGTAGAAAACTCCATGACTAACCTTGTTTTGATGATTATGTATTCTTTTGGATTTGATTGGAAGCTTGAGGCACATCTTTCAAAATAGCAAGCAATGATAAATATGATTTAAATAAATCTGTTGGCTATAAACAAAAAACATACTAGAGAAAAACTGGATGTAAACTAGGTGGGAAGGGGTTGGGTAGAGGAAAGACACTGGCTATTTCTCTGAGTGTTCCTCTCTTACAGACTCTGAAAATAGGCTGACACTCCAGAATCTCAATTAAACCTAAAAGATAGTACTTCCATTTCTGGCTCTTGAAGTATGACAAAGTCTGCTCTGGCCCTAATGGAGATTAATATTTCACTTACTAGCAGTTCTAAACAACTGGACTAATTTAATGCTCATGAAAGAGGAATTGCTGCGTCTGTCCACCCCCATCTTGGAAAACTTATCAGTATACAAACCTCCTAAAATGGTAAGCGTCTAGAGCTCTAGGATACTCTCATCTGGCCCCTACTACTTCTAGGGGATCATGAAGACTCTGCAGAAGGAGTAGCATGATGTGGTTGAAAGCTCTTAGTTTGGAACCAGATAGACCTGGATTGAATGTAACTAGATTGATGTTTTAGCTGCGTGACTTCAGAAAAGTACCTCCTTGCTTTGAGTTTTAAACATCCTCAACATGGAGATTGGTAGGCTGGCAAAATGAGTTATTGTGAGAATTAAAGGAGTGGAGGTCTGAAAAGTACTTGATGTTTTACTTGATATATACAATAATGAGGATGTTAGTGTCTCTCTTTTTCAAAGAGCCTTATTAATACCACAGCTAAACAAGCTGCAACCTCTTGTAAGCATGTTGGACTTCCTCAGAGGAGCAATGGTATAGTTTAGCACACAAAATCTGGAATTGGACTGCTTGAAAAATCACAGCTCTGATACTTATTAGCCATGTGATTTAGGACAAGCTTTTGAGGCTCAGCTTCCTCATCATTTAAATGAAAATAATCATATATATTCATACGTATTATTGCCTGTAAAGTGCTTAGAAGGAGTGTCTGACACATGGCAAGAAGGATGGCTATCATCATCATTATCATCATCACGCATCTGCTGCCAAATCCTGCCCTTCTGGAATATCCACACTCATTTCAGAGCTCTGACACTGGTATTACCAAACACTGAATAAGTTACATATGGTTTCCACTTGGCCTTAGAATGATGTTTCTGATTAATCTCTCAGTGCATTTTTACCTTCTCTATTAGGTTTTGTTCATGTTTATTTTAAAACAGTGGACATGTTTGGCAGGGGAAGTGTATAAATGGAATGCAAGATCACAACAGTATATTTCTTGCTATGATATTTAGTACTTAAAGATTTATCAGAAATAGTCAGAGTCCACCAAATAATTCTGCTAATCAGAAGAGAAATGGCCTCCCAGTATGTCTCTTGCTTTTCAACTATTGTCAGCCCAGACTTTTAAGTAGATGTCTTTTGTACTCCAGTAGATGACCACTAATGAGTTTTTGCTTCACGAAATGATATTTCACAAACACTATCCCTTATTCAGCAGATTCAATGCCCAAATCTATCCTTAAGTTCTCAAAATTATCTCCAAACAATATAGGGTATCAATTATTTTGGGATGGGGAAGGCAAGGAAACAGCTAACCAGGCAGAAGGAAGAGCAATGGGCCTGAGATGGGTCAGAACATGAGACATTTATGGAAATGAAAAGCTAGTGTGATGGAGCAGTAAGAGAGAAAGTGTGTTTGTTTGTTTGTTTGTTTGGTCAATGGCTGCTAAGTTGACATTGCTCCAGGTATTTATTCCTTCGGCTGTCTTTACTGAGCTAAACGTCCACAACTGTCTTCAAAATATTCTCTTGCTTTTCCAGGCAAACAATGGGAAGGGATGACCTCAAAGAGCCTCCAGTGGTTACTGCTCTGGAGAAGTTACAAGTGAACTTTTATCTCAAGTTCAAAACGTCCATGAGTTACTTGAATTTGAGCACTTCGCGTGTTTTTGGCTTCACGATTCCTGGCCAAATTTCAGGGCAAATGCTCATTTAACTTCATTTATTTAAAATTTTTCTGGAAGTAGAATTGGATAGAGAATCCTTCGTCTCATTTGAAGTGATTGGTTGACTGCCTGGAAGACTGCATTTTGGGACACAGGCATTAAACCCTGTTCATCTGCTCTTCTGAGTGAACAGGAAGGTGAAAGGGTCAAGGGTGAAAACTTTGCATTCTTCTACCAATTTAAGGAGGGTACTTGAAAAACCAGTCAAGTGATTTCAGACATAAATCTTAAGGCAGAAATTTTATGGATAACTCTTTACTACATCTTGAGATAAAAGGGCTCTCTGGATAAATAAGTTAACAAGACATTCCACCACACAAAGAAACTAAACATGTTACATTAGTTTAGAAATATGAGCGTAGAATGATGAATCTTTTTTGACATTGTAGAAGTAAGTGACTTTTGAAAAAGATGTGAGTCCCTGTTGATTCAGGAAGTCTTTTATAAATTGCATTTCATAATGCACATTGATGAATGACACTTAGGAATAAACAATTAGATGAATGTCAGGTTGCATACTGTTAGGTTCTACATATATTCAACAATTTTCTGTTCTCTGATTGGAAAATTTTTTAAATGTGCTTCACCATCTATTTTTCAATTGCTCTATTTGTGCAAATAATATATTTTACTTTTGTTACGCATTATTCCATAACCTAGTTTTATATCTTATACAAATATTTTGAATACCTGTACATGTTCACATATAATTTGCACATCTTAATAGCTATAAAGAGTCCACATATTTATATCTGTGTCTGCATTTGTTCATAAAAGGATCTGTCTTTGTACAATCCCTCCCTGGGCTATGTGCACATGCTGTTTTCTCTGCCTGGAAAATGCTAAATGTTCATTATTGATTTCTTCTCATCTTCAGCTTCTCAAGGAGACTTTGCTTAAATTATTCAGTTCCTCTCATGCTATCCTTACTCTTTGCCTTCTTGAAACTTAGCATGCTGTATATGCTACAGTAAGTTTTAATGTGTAACGAATAATGTGAGACTTAAGCTTCATAATGACAGCAGCACCATCTGGTTTGTTAACCATATTTATCCAGAACTTAACAGAGTGCCAGGAGTATAGTAAAAAGTCTGTGGTTTTTGAATAAGTACATAAATATTGGTGAATACTGAACTTCATGTGTTATGGTAGTTCCAAAATTTTAGTGTCATTTATGCCAGAAAACCATGCAATTGAGGAAAATAAATGTATATAAATATAACCAGCAACACACATTTTATCAGTTTTGAGTCATGGGATGAGTGGTATGGTGTTTTACAAAATTCACTGCAGCTAAAAGGCACTTGATAAATATTTTTCTGCATTACTTCATTTTTGTGGAGGTATTACTGTTTTGTGAAGATGAAAAAAGTTATAATCATTAGGAATTTCTGCCTTAGAGATTCCATATTCTCCTCTGTTGTGCCACAATCACACACATGAACATAGATTTATTTTTGATGGCTGTAGGAATTATTACTTACCACTTCAGGGATAACAGAGTTTTGCTGATTCTTTAGAAAATATTCATTGGTAAATGCATTTCTATGCCCATATACACACATTTTTTTCCTAAGGATGTCGGACAGCTAGTCCTGGACTAGAAGTCAATAAGAAAGAGAAAACGAAAAGAAAAAAGTTAGCACTGTCAGCTTTTCTCTTGGGATGCATTTCAAGGTAGGGCTCTTCTTGAGGCTTGTGAAAACTAACATAGCATCATTAGGAAGTCAGTCCATCAAACACACTTGAAAACATTTCCTCACTCTTGTTTTTAGGTTGCAAGTCATGATTCACAAATAGAATTTAAAAAAATAGTGCTCCTTCCAAACTGATCTTTCCATTCCCAGTTTACTGTATGTAGCTTATGGCTTATATCAATGGAAGCACTGAAAATAATTACATTAATCTCTTGATATGTTTTCACGTCTTTTAAGGATTTTCTAAAATACGAAGGTTCATTTTGTTTTACCTATAACCGAGTTACTAAGGTTACATTTGCCATGCAGAGGACTAAAATTACAATCCAAGGATGTTCTGTCTATTTGTCTGAAAAATGTTGGGCTTTGTGCTATGGAAATTTGGAACATTAGAGTTAGATTGTAATTATATAGTCAGGTCTCCTGGAAAATGATGATCCTGGGATATAACAAGTAAATGAAATCCACAAATAATCCCAAAGCTCTTTTATAGGAAAACCTTTTTACATAAAAAATGTCAACAATTAGCAGAATTGATAGAATGCCCCTTTCCTGTTCAGTTCCTGGTGGAGGTAATATCAAAGAGTGCAATGGTCCAAAGACAAGGATTCAGGCAGATGCAGAATAAACAAAGATTGTGGTTTTAATCAGCACCTGAAACACAATGTATTGCCCATAGTTTCCTGAATTACTGTACAATGTGACTGTACAAGAAAAAGTAATTTAACATTCCAACAAGGGTCTTTAAAGCAACAATAATTTTTAAATATAAAAAAATGAACAAAAACAAGTAATACACATCTGATCAGCTCATTACACTTTGGAAAAGGCTTAACTTAATTCAGTGTGACGCTGAGATTTTCATACAGCAACCTAAAGTATTTGTTATGATGCCAGACCACTAGGCTAACTATCCAAATGGAAAGTATTACCTGTGAAAAATTAAGAAGGTTCCATAGGCCACCAAGTCAATGCCTCTTTCTTGTTCTATTTGATTTCTGCTCATTGATTATTCAGGGAGAAAAATAATAAAAGACATTCTTTACACATAAGGACACATTTAAAGGCAACTATTTCAACTTCATAGTAGTTGTTGTCTCAGTGGATGGAGATACAGAATTAATTATCTCAATGAGATGACTCTGATTCACAAGAGGCTAAGGTAGCTTTATTTTATTCTACAGCTATCGTGATATCTGCAAACGTATGCTATTTGGAAGGGGGAAGTATCACGAAAAGGCTTGATGATATGTCTGTACCCATGGCCACACTGGAGAACTTCATAATGGTTTGAGAATGTCTTCTCAAATACTGTGTAAAGAATAATCCAGTATTGGCTTTATTAGTGAAACAAAATTGAGAATATCTTAAAATACCGATATCAAGATTATTACCCCATTCAAAGATCCAGCAGCCAGTCACTTAGTGGACTAAATTCATCTTGACATTGTTTTGATTTTTTATTTAATTTCATCTAAGGAGAGACAATGAGGAAATAGAAGCACTGAAGTGTTTTGATGTTATCACTGGAGCTCAAGATCTGTCCATCCTTTTTCTCACTTTACGACCACTAAATCCTACATACCTGACAAGGCAGGGGCTCTTCCCAATAATGGCAAGCGCTTCCATCAGAGATTATACTTTCTTGGGAAGAAACATACATGGTTCACAAAAGGCTTCACAGATTACTGATACTTCAACCTAATGCAAAGTCCTCTTTCTCCTCCTAAATTGGAGAATCTCTGATTTAAAAACACAATAAAATCTTAGAGTTTTTCTATTTTTTTAAATTTTGAAGGAAATCTAAGAGAGACTCAAATTCAAACTTAGGCACCTTCAATGTGTTTCAAAAAACTCAACTAGTAATATCTAAATTTTTTCCGTGAGAACTGCTTTGCCTTACATTTAGGATTTCCCTAGAACCATAATATTGAGATGGGAGGGGACATGGATGTTGTCTAATCAAGCATGCTCTGCCTCAGCATAATCAACGGGAGAACCACTTATCTTACAGTTGAGCACAGGTAGATTTTAGAATATCCTCTCTTGATCCAAGTCATAGATAGATGCTCTGACTTTGGCCAAGTCTCAGCCTTTCTGAGCTTTAGCTTTCCCATTTACAAAATAGATACCCTGCTTCACAAGTTGTAATCATTAAAAATGTATCCTCTAGCAAAACCGAAATGTCTATATAATTGAAGCAATATTTTAATTAACTTCCATCAAACTACGGTGAAGCTAAACATTGTTTTTCAAAGTGATGAATAACAACAATAATTGTAGCAATAATAATAATAATGCTAATAGCTAACAGGAACTATGTAGCCATTAAATGTGCTAAGAATTTTGTATGCATTATCTCATCAAAAGAAAATTGGAGCATGATGCAAATGTTCTGAAATTAAATAATGGTGATGGTTGCACAACCTTGTGAATATACTAAAACCACTGAACCATATACTTTAAAAGGGCAAATGTTATGATATGTGAATTATATCTCAATTAAAAAAAAGAAAATTGATGTGAAAGAATATTGGAAATTTGCAAAAGTAAAGAAAGGTATTCTGGGAAGTGTGGTGAAGGATACAATGAGGAATACACCAGGCTTTTTTCCTACCCTAAAGTTGTTTTTAATAGGTTTGAGGGGTTGAAATGGGCATATAAAAACTAACACCTAAGGCAGTGTGTGGAGGAGGACTGGCACAGGCTTAGAAAATTTTATTAGACATTCTTAGGACCAAGAGATGAATTTAAGCCTCCAGGAAGTTAATATCGCTGCCAGAATATAGTCTCATTGAAGGAGCTACAGCATCCTGTAGGATGGAGACATATTAGAAAAGATACACTATCCTTAATGAAGATTTGATGGGGAAATGAAAAGGCTGTTTTTTAAAAATGTATTACTCCTAAATGAGATGTTTCTGAGGTGGTATTGCCCACATATCTTGCCCACTTCTGATTCCTTATTGTGTAGTGCTACAAAATGTAACTAGCCAAAAAAAAAAAAAAAAAAAAAAAAAAAAAAAAAAAAAAAAAAAAAAAAAAAACTAAAACCAAAAACAAAACCATGCACCCTGTAGTAACCCTCCTCTTGACTCATCCTCTAAGGGTGCCTTAGTTTCAAGACATTTTCCTGGAACACTGACACAACTGACATTATTCAGTTTTAGAATGCCCCACCAAATTGGTCATATTTCAGTACCCATAATTATTGGCTGTGTGATTTCAGCAAGATTAAAGTTTCCAAGGAGATAGAGACAATGGCACTTACCTTTCAGGTCTGCTGGGAGTTTTAGATGAGATACATTGTATAGAGCTCAATACCTGGCACATAGTGAGTAGTCTGGTATGTGGGGCCTGAAAGGAGAGATAGAAGGTAGACAGAACATAACTTCTATGTCCCTGGGAGTTGCATTAGAACCTGCTGGTAGTGTTAGAGCTGTCCAAATGCTGGTTTGCTCCCATGGCAGTTTGAGGCTTCCAGAGATCCTTCAGATGCTTCCCCCAATGCACCTGTGCTTTTCCCCACCACTCCCTCAACTCTTTTGTGGGTATGAGTATTTGCATGCACGATTTACCTTCCCAATTTGATTGAAAGTTTTCCCAGGAGCAGAAAACAGACTTTACCTGTTTTTATTCTCCTCCCAGTAGTAGGAAAATGCTGGGTGCATATTACATACTTTTTATTAGTTACCTGAATGAATTTTAAACAGACGCTATTTAATGGAGAAAATAGGAGACAGGGCAGCAGGAACTTCTTGTTTTTGATGTGGTGGTGTTGCTTTTTGGGGGTTAGAGGATGGCATGTATATCTCAGTGCCAGGTTAAAACAACTAGATTAAAACCACTTCTTACCATTATAGGCCATCTAAATTGGTAAACAGAGTCTCTACCAGCCAAGAGGGCCTCTAAGTAATTCACTTAGAAATGTATTTGGGTGGCTGGGGGCAGTGGCTCACACGTGTAATCCCAGCAGTCTGAGAGGCCAAGGTGGGCAGATCACCTGAGGTCAGGATTTCGAGACCAGCCTGACCAACATGGAAAAACCCTGCCTCTACCAAAAATACATTATTAGCTGGGCGTGGTGGCATGCACCTGTAATCCCAGCTACTTCGGAGGCTGAGGCAGGAGAATCACTTGAACAAAGGAAGCAAAGGTTGCAGAGAGCTGAGATCGTGCCATTGCACTCCAGCCTGGGCAATAAGAGTGAAACTCCATCTCAAAAAAAAAAAAAAGTGTTTGGGCTAAATTAGCAATTATCTGAGTGTGTTTGTTTTTAGGTGAGATAACAGATGGCTCTCTGATACTGTCTGCAGTGTTGCATAGTCCAACAACTGTGACTATAGGCTCCAGACTCCCCTTCATGCCTTAAAACCTTTGCTCCCTGGTGAGGATTAGTCTCTGGAGAAGCAAAACATTCCATTCACCCAACTCTGGTTTCAATCAACAATGTAGATTTGGACTATGGGAGTCTTTCTGTATTCTGAAATGAGTACAAGCATAGAGAGAGCATTTAAAGACATTGTTGAGTTCTGTCCAAAGTGGGGCCCTGGAGTACTGGACTGTACTATGGTGCATGACAGAAGTTTACAGAACGTAAACAGGGCTCCCTGCTAATCTACATGCCCTCCTGAGTTGCACACTTGCTCACAATGTTTGGTCCTTCTCTCTAGGAGTATAGTAAACAGACACAGAGAGAGACATTTTTATTTGTTACTGGTCTCTGTTCCTGAGCATAGTTGAGCCAAACATTTCTATATAACAATCCAAGAATGGGGTGAGGGGAAACAGTGCACTAAAATCTTATGTAACATGTCTGTATGCCACATGTAGACCGAAATCTTTACTTACGTGTATTCTGCTTTATCCATTTCATAGGCACATATTATATATGCATCTGTAACATGCAGACATCTTGCTTGAAGTATACCCAAGATATTGATTACACCATTAAATCTTAATCTTAGTTAAAACATAAAACTTACAAGTGCATATGTTATTTCATATGGAATTAGACAGTGCATTAAACTATGGTGCCACTTGCTAGAAATTTCAGGGACCTTCCCAGTGTCATATTTCATGATGTTTCCCTTTAACTTGGTTTAATAATATAATCTTTATTCAGAAATGAGCTTTTGTAAAAAAATCAATAATTACCATTGTCACTGTTTATTTAATGAATCCATGGAAAGTCTTCATTAAATTATAAATGCCTCGTTACTGATATTCTTATAAGAGATTTTTGAAATTATGATTTGAGCCAGTTATCTATTTCAAGGAATATACAGTACAGGGAGATCAAGACATGTACAGGGAGATAAAGACATGTCCAGTGAAATGACTTCTGGTTTTGCTAATGCAATATTCATGAGAATTTGCCAAGACAATCATATTTAATCCCAGAGAATAAGAGTTTGAAATGAATTCTTTTAAATTGTAATTACGCATTGGCAAGAAAGTTTAGCACGTTTTATTGCTTATATAATTTAAATGACTTGCTATCCTATAAACATGAGATGGTTGTGTTGTAAGAATATCTATAGTTTCTGAATTAAATAGTAAATACCGGTCTTATAAATATGCTTGTTATTAGTATTTTGTGCTTTATGTGTATTTTAAATTTATTGTTTTCAGGGAAAACTCTTTGGCGATCATTTATAATTAAACTGTTTTTCAAAGCCTGATGCAACTTGGGGTGAAGTAGATAATGTCTGAATTAGGGTCGGGCCTGTTGTTTGAACCCTTATTTTGATAGCCTTCAGTTCCATTCTAGCTAACTCTAGAGTTTAAATCCATGAGATGTCAAAGACATTTGAAGTTGAGGCAACAACTGAACATCTCCAAGAAGAGATGGGCGTCATTTAAAAGTCAAATGATATGAGAACACTTGGACACAGGAAGGGGAACATCACACACCGGGGCCTGTTGTGGGGTGGGGGGAGGGGGGAGGGATAGCGTTAGGAGATACACCTAATGTCAATGACGAGTTAATGGGTGCAGCACACCAACATGGCACATGTATACATATGTAACAAACCTGCACGTTGTGCACATGTACCCTAGAAATTAAAGTATAATAAAAAAATATATATATAAAATTAAAAAAAAAAAAAGTCGGATGTTCTCCAAGCATCACGGATGCTCATTGTTTCTAAATTGTTTATTTTATTGTGTTGCAAAAAAACCAAATCCTATGAAATCTGGAGATTTCTGCACCTAGAAAATGAGCATTTTGCATTTCATATTGCAGAAAGTTTTAAGGTTAAGTTAAAGGGACTTATTTCAGAGTTTAGTGCATTTTTCACCTTTAACATTGCAATGCTTCTATTCACTGAATCTAGACCTTCTTAATAATTAATACTCTGATGAAAATAGGCTCTTATGGCCTACTTCCATAATAAGTTTCATAATAAGTAGGAAACTGCAAGAATTTTTTCCAGTGTATCCTGGATAAGAACCAGGTCTATAATAGACGAGACCCTAAAACAATGGGCAACCCTAGAGTAACAGATATCTTCCTGTACTTGTTGTGTTGAAAGTACTTCCCAAGGTGTAACAGGAATTAAACTTGTTCTGTAAAAATATTTCTTTCTAACCACCAGGGAAGTCCACAGGGAGTCTCAACAGTGCTTTGCTCCCTCTTGGATAGTAAAAAGGTCATCCGTTCACTTTTAGACATAAAAAGTAAAATCAGCTTACTCCTCTGTAATAGCAGAAGTCAGTTAAAGCCTCTTCATTATCCCTGCTTCAGCCACAGTGGAGCCCCCACTTGCACTGGGAGGAGCACGATTGTTTCCATGGCTTTCACTATTCCTCTCCCTCTCTTATTCCTCCAGGGATGAAGCAGAAGAAAGAAGACATAAAGGGCAGAAATGACCTTACTTGGCTAGTATTATTGTAGCCATCTAGTTGAGCTTAGCCTATACTTAAAGTTCTTAAGGAGGCACTTTTCGGAAGCATTTGGTTCTTTACAGACCTTAACCCCATTATTAGAATTTACCTGCAATTCCATTGAGGTAGTAAATGCACTTCCTTCAGATGGTCATTTAGGATTCCCACCTCACCATCTGGTCATCTATCACTGCAATTCCAAGTTCTTTTTTTTTTTTTCTTTTCTTTTCTCAGTTTTCTTCACCACTCAGCCCAATCCCTTTAGTAACCCTGCTAAACAGGATACAATACAATTCTACACAGACTCTAACCTAGGGTCCACAAGTGTCCTTTGTCCTAACAAACCCTAATGCACAAGTGGCTCCTGGTACATCAATATCTCTTTGCTTGGCCACTGGGCATCAGCAAGCCACAGTCTCTTCCCTTGAAGATTTCTCAGTTATAGTCAAATACTAGTTTGCTCACTACCTTGACCGCTGCCACCCACCAAGTCCCAGAAGACACATATCAAATTTTCTTAGATGTTCCACTAATGTCCCTTTCTCCTGCACTTGAGATAGGGAAAAGCAGACTTCCACCCTGCAGTATGTGGAAATCACATCACATCTCAACTGTCTCCAAAAATCCTCTTCTAATTGTCAGTCTCCTCTTGCCTTTTTCTGCATTTTGATGGACTAGAAGTAGGTAATTAATTCAGGACCCTAAAAGCAGTTCTCAGTGTTCTCCTTTGCAAGACTGGCTTAAGTAACTTTATGCTTCATTTTGTAAGATGGAAACAGTAATGTGTTTTTGACTTATTATGTTATCATGTTAACATCTCAGCTGAAACTGAAACAAAAAGAATCATTTTAATATTCTATTATATCCACATATCAGTTGCTTACAATTTATTCCAAAATTATTTTAAACATACATTGATTGATACATGTCTACTAACTTCAAAGAACAATACAAGGCCCCTTAGTGATGCTATTCTAGCAGGAGAGATAAAACAGGTAGTAAAAACAGCTAGATTTACCAAATCTGCTAGCTACAGCTATAGGATGGCACAACAGTCCTAAACTCAGCCTGGTGTAATGATTAAGGACCAGACTCTGGAGCCTAACTGTGTGGATCTGAACCATAGCTTTTCTCTTTCCAGCTGTGCGACCTTAGCCAAATTGCTTAATCACCCTGTGCCTTAATTTTCTCATCTGTAAAATGAAGATAAAATAGCATCTCCCTCATGGAACTGTTATGAAGAATACCAGAGTTAGTATTTATAAAATGTATAGAGCCCTACGTATGTGTTTGGTTGTTAGGAAACTCAGGGTCCATGTAGATAGGGTAATTTTTAAAATATTTATTTATTTTGAGACAGGGTCTTACGCTGTCAACCAGGCAGGAGTTCAGTGCACAGTCATGGCTCACTGCAGCCTCAGCCTCCGGGGCTCAAGTGATCTTCCCACCTCAGCCTCCTGAGTAGTTGGGAATACAGGTGTGTGCCACCATGCCCAGATTTTCTTTTTTTTTTCTTTTTCTTTTTTTTTAATAGTAAAGACGAGATCTTGCTATGTTTCCCAGGCTGGTCTCCAACTCCTGGGCTTGAACAATCCTCTTCACCTTGGCCTCCCAAACTGCTGGGATTATACATGTGTGCCATCACTTCTGGCTGGGTAATTTTAATAGCTGCAGAGACTTTAGTATATATTTTCCCCTGGACTTATTATTTTCCACCATATTTCTCATGACCCTTACTTTTAAATACATGTCATTGTAAGGCATTTTAGTATTGTGTAGACTGACTCAGCTAATAAACAAACAGCAAAAGTCCAATGAAAATTCAAACGTTATTCAAAGACTTATGGAGATTTTTTTAAAGATTTTTTTTTAGCTCAGACCTTTTTGTAAGCATGCATTATTTTCTTATTTTAACAGAATTACTTTTTGCTCATTTTCAGTAATTAATTTAGTACATACATTTTTAACACATGTGATATAACTCTACAGAAAAATTTTAAAGAATCTCATTTAAGAGACATAATAAGTTATCTTTATTTAACAAACATGTATATAGTGTTAAAATGTGATTTTTTAAAAAAGTTAAACCATCCGTCAAGCCTAAAGCTAATCAAACCAAAAAAAATTGTAAGCATGCTAACTTATAAGAAAGAGATCTTTATGTACAATAAGAACCCAGGGGGAAGAAAACCAACAGAAACCTTTAGGATCTCTACATGAAGGAGATAATGAGCAATACTGCAAAATAACATCCTCAAATATTTTCCTTTGATTAATACAATTTTGAAAAAGATTTTCCGTAAGGATTCTTAGTGTAAGCTGATTCCATACTCCTGCTGCCTAGTTCAAATAATGATGAGAACCCCACAAAGAGTCAAGAGAATGTGGCCCAAATCTTCAGGTTTCTAACATTCTGATTTAAAACTTCTACAGGAAAGGATGGACTGTGTGTACTTTAAACCCTTCTTCCTCCGTGTGATTTCTCTCAACTGAGGTTTGAAGAAGGGTGAACCACAGACAGTTTGAGGTTATGTGTTCTGACAAGGGCCTACAGCACAGGTATTCTGTGCAACTGATTAAGGACAAATCCACATGCTTTAGAAATCAACTGATTTCATGGTAGAGTTGACAGTCCTGTTAAAGAATGCTTCTCAGAGGCAGAGGACATAGCACATGTTTCTCTTTGCCACCTTATATTATGAAATTCTAAAGTTAACAGCAACAACTTTATAGTTAGAATGATTCATAATGAGGCTTTGCATATGAAGAAGTGAAGAGGGCGTTCATTTTGGATAACGGTATCTTTGCTTCAACTTAGCTTAGATATAATCTAAGAATAAGGGAAATGAATTTTAGTTTTCGTACGTCTCTATTATGTGTCCTTGAACAAGTCTTGTACCTTCCTGTGTTATCATCAATAAAATGTTGATGTTTCATCATCAATAAAATAAAAACATTGAATAACTTTCAAGCTGTTAGTATTTGATGGTTTTGTGAATACTGACTAAGGGACTGCACTCATTAAATGCCCCATACCCTTTAGAATGATTTCCCCTATTGTGAGTATTTGTCAATGGGCTCTAAACAGACATCATTGCTCTGATTTCACCAGTTATTAAAAGTAAGAATTTGGAGCCCCGTTTTTCTTGTGAAATGGGGAGAGTGGATTAAAGGGGTTGTGTTAAAGTACACAAAAGGATGTCCTTTGTGCAGGCAGCTGTGCGCCTTCTCTGTGACAACCTCTGGGAAGAAGGCGGCTCAATTCCCTTGAAAGTGTGCCTTTTGGAATATCAATTATCCATGAAAGAGATGTCTTAAATTTACCCAGATGTCAAGAATCTTGCTTCTACTACATGTAGTTTTTCAGAAGTAAAATTGGAGGAAAGCAGCTGTTGTCCAAAGCACATTTTAAAACAATACCTTGTATGTAATCTTTATTAAATGGTGACTAGTCAACTTAATTCAACTCTTTTTTCCCCTCCTCTCTTACAGCACCAGGGAAAAATTGGAGTTAAGTTTAATGTTGGGACAGATGACATCGCCATTGAAGAATCCAATGCAATCATTAATGATGGGAAATACCATGTAGTTCGTTTCACGAGGAGTGGTGGCAATGCCACGTTGCAGGTGGACAGCTGGCCAGTGATCGAGCGCTACCCTGCAGGTAAGCAAGTGAATATGTATCGGGGGAAGATTTTATGAAAAACAAACTGGAAGAAAAAGCACTGTTTTGCATCCGTTTCACCAAATTGTGGTTTTCTGAGAAACCATCAACTATTTATTGGACTTTAGAGTCATGTGAATGTAATGCTGTCCTAAACTGTTCTTGCTACAGTGTACAAATGCCATTTTATAGGAGAACGTGAAGGTGTACATTATCGTTTTCAAAATTCAGGACATCAATGAAATCAGAAAAATGCACACATAAAAAGCACAACATATCAAAGCTCTTTTTACTGGATCCTTGCATTTAAACAAAGGAAAGGCTTTGTCAAAAGTAAAAAAGTTAAAATTTAAAACTAAGGGAAAGAATATTATAACACTTTTTTTTTCTGAGAGAAAATAAGACCTAACGCTTCCTCAGATGGTAGTGCACAGCTGAAACACATTAAAGTGTAGGGATCCCGTGAGATAAGTAGAGAACTAGTGAGAAAACAATAGTAGCATAAATCAGCAGTTATAAGAACATGTACATAAAAGAAGTTTGTTTTCACTTTCATATAACCATAGAGTTTCATGAGGATTCTTTGACACTAGCACTACTCATTTTAAGTCTATAAAATAAATGTCAAGCCGTTATTGATAAAATAAAAATTATCTTGTTTATTGTGAATGAGTTTTATCAATATTATGTTATTGAAACAAAGGTGGTAGATTAGAAATTTTAAACAATGTTACTTGTGGTTGTATATATCCTCAATTTTAAAACAAATATGCTTTTTAAGTAATATATAAATTAAAAGTATAAAGATATTTTACTGCAATCATTATCGTCTCTATTACTAAAAGCATCAGTCTCATTTCTCTCTTCCCCTTTTAGATATAACTATGTTTTTTGCAAAGCACACAATTTATAACACAGTATAAAGAAAAAGTATAAAAATACATTTCTATTTTACCCAATAAAAATAATAATCAAAATTTATATTTAAATTCTTCTATCACACTTATTTGGTTCTTGAAAGAAGTAATTTAATGACATAACCAATGTATTCAATTGATATCAAATATCCCAAGTACTGACTCACAATTGTGGAATGAAATGTCTATAATACCCTTCTGGACCTTTTCTGGTTTATAGAATTCTAAATCTTCAAGCCCTAGTTCAAACCTATTCCACAAGCCTAGTACTCTGCCAATATTTGCTGAATTAAATGTAATAAAAAAACTGCTCTATGACAAAGTTAGGAAGCAAGGAAATTAATATGTCCAGTGCCTGTTATAATACTGGCAAATAGTAGGCATTCAGTAAATATTTGCTGAATCGATGTCTTGGGAATTACCACAATTTTACACTACAATTATGTGAACCATATACAATAAGGTGAAGTAATGGAAGATTTGAAAGCCAAGTAACTTAATATGCATGCAATGTTACATAGCCCCTGCTAATCCCAGATTATTGCATTATCTGAAATCCTAGTATAAATGTGCAATTTCAATTTTTATTCTTTATCAATTTAACTTTTTTTTTTTTTTTGAAGCAAGGTCTCACTCTTTTGCCCAGACTGGATGTAGTGGCAGTCATAGCTCACTGTAACCTCAAACTCCTGGGCTCACAGGATCCTCCTTCCTTGGCCTCTCTAGTAGCTAGGACTACAGGTGCACACCACCATGCCTGGCTAATTTTTAAAATTTTTTTGTAGAGATGGGGGTCTCGCTATGTTGCTCAGGCTGGTCTTGAACACCTGACCTTAAGTGATCTTCCTGCCTCGGCCTCCCAAAGTGCTGGGATTACAGGCATGAGCCACCATGCCCAGCCTAAAAAATGTGCTTTTAAAAGTAATAGCTAAAACCTTAATAAAATAACAGAAAGGTGTATTGGTAATTTTCCTAAAATATGGATTAATCACTGCCTATTTGCTGAGAGAAAGTCATCACACTGGATGCCATGAAAATATATAGTAGGGTAAGGTCTAGGCTTTGCTCATGGGATGTTGTCAGCTGTGAACAGTGGACCTGAACGTGCAAAATGATAAATCCTGTTACTATTGCAGTGTGGCATTTGCCTCTTGAGGCATGGTTTTGTGTTCATAGTTAATTCTTGAAAATGTCTTTATTTAGTAACTTTTAACACTTAATCAGCAATTTCCAAACTGGTATCTTTACCTAGAGCTTATTACTACTTATGGTGAGAAAGGGAAAGTCCCATTAGTTTGGGAAATTCTGGGTTAAGCTAAGTTAAAATATCTATACTTGGACTTTATTAATATGCATAATGTATCTGTAAAAGAGAAATACAGGATGCTTTACCCAAGCATAGATGATAGAAAATAAATATAGGATATATTAGCCAAACATCATTGCATTTTAGTAAATATTTTATGTTTTCAAAAATGTCTATATGCCCCAATTTTACTATATTTTATTTGACTGTGCACATACCAGATGCCATGTACTGAATATAGTTCAAAAAAGATATGGTTCCTGTGTTCTTGTAGCAGACTAATGTCCAATTTGAATCTGGTAGCTGAGATTGAGGCAGTACTTATTAATTATTTGAAAAAAATATTTGTACATATTTTTCTAGATTAATATTTGTTTAACACATATAGTACCTTATTTGCCAATTAAATAATTGTTCAGAATAAGAAACACAATGTAAAAGATGTTTAAAAATAGAAATGAGCAGTATCGTAATAAGAAGCAAATCTTTACATATAGTTATTTCAGATACAACTTTCAACATTTAATCAGAGATTTTAAATGCCCTTTTACCAAGATGTATTTTAGAAAATATAAATAAACCAAGAGTGGGCAAAGTTGCAATTATTCTGAAGGATATACGCAAGGTAAAACACAGAGTCGGCCCTCAAGAAAATAAAGCACATATGAAGAATTTCAATATATACATATAAAAAGTTAATGATCAATATATAAAGAACTCAGGGGAGTCACCATTGTCATCAGATGTTTTATTAATCATCTGCTCTGTGTTCATTTCAGTGTGATGCTGAGGTAGGAAATAAGCCATGAAAATTTCAAATACCTTTTTCTCTTGGAACTTCATCTGCAACGGTGCCATAATGGCTGAATACAAATTTTGAAGAGTGTGTCACCTTGATTAAAGTTTTTGTGACACGGTGATTGTAAATACGAGTTCAGTAGCAAAGTCTAGTATATGTATTTTATGTCAGTTTGTGGTATGGCTCTTTTTATTAATTTTTGGGGTTATTTTTATTAGAAGAACAGCTAAATTAGAGCTTTTACCACCAAGTCTTATACTCAGAGAAGCGGGAACCAGCAGACTATATATGGTTCCTTTAAAGTGCCTGTACTGCAAAATATAGGTAATAAGGATTGAAATTAGTAATTAGTATAGCACTTAACCTCCATTATAGGTCTTTGTGGTAAGTGCTTTTATATGAAGCAATTCATCTGGTAGCAACACTATACCTTTAATGAAAAGCAACCAAAGCATTGACCAATGGTACTGCTCTGTAATTGCCTGGAAGGCTTTCATAGAGAAACTAATTAGTAGAGGTAGATTTTATGCTCTTTTTGAGTATATGAAATCTTCCTGTAACTCAACAGTTTACATTTTAGAATAAATATTGAATTTTCTGAATAGAAGACCTAGTATCCATTATTTTCTATATAGAGAGCAAAGTACAGAGATAATATTTTACAAACCATTTAAAGTTGAGAAAGCCATTTCTTGGTGCTTATCAGTTAAAGCTCTAGAATATAATGCATCATTAATCTCTGATTTGTCCCTAATTACAGTTATGCGGGAAAATTTTCTCTCTCCACAAAAATAGACTTTCTTTCTCATAACATTAATTCACAAAGCCTAACATCATCTTGCTTACCCTGACTAAAGATTGCTTCAGATAAATCACAGTTATCTTTGATAATAAACTTTTGAATTTGTTTTCCTATCACAGTGTGTCAAAAGATTTCTTTTACACTCTACACAAGGTCAAATGTTCGTTTTATACTCAAGTTAACATATTAAATCAACAAATATTTAAAGGATATATACTACATAAAAGTAACATACTAAATTTACAGTCTGGTTACAGAGATAGGCAAAAAAAAGTTCAAGATTAGAAATATAAAATGTGAGAAAGTGCTAGAGTTATCATATCATATTTGGCTAATTTCTGAATAAGATATAAAAGGAAAACTCGTTCCAAGGAAGAAGAGACCATTTTGAAGTGAGTGGTGCAGTAAGATTGTGAAATCAGTAGCAAATTAGATTTAGGTCTTTTCAAGCATGCATTCATTTAGGAAGGATTAGCAGGAAATGATAGAGACAGACAAACTATTTAGGAAACTACTAACCAATCCAGGTATCAAAAGATAAAGTACTAAAGTAGAATGTGAGAAAATAAACAAGATGAATGCAAAATACACTGTAAAAGCTAATGAACAACTTAATAGAAGGAGAGACATGCCCGCATTTTCGGCTCGCTCTCTCTCTCTCTCTCTCTCTCTCTCTCATTCTTCTCTGCCTCTCCCCCTCTCTCTCTTTTAACCAGCAATTATTCAATGTTCTAATGCTGCTGTGTGTCACCAGACAGCATTAGGTACCAATGAAATGGAAACCAGTTGTAGGAAGGAACAAAGAAGTCAAAGACATTATTATTCATGTTTGCCAACAGATTAGTCTGATTGGGAGATAAGGAGGATCCAGAAAACCTGAACATGTCAGATAAAATGTATTAACTTTCAAAATGCCGAGTTTGATTACTGTTAAGTTTAAGGAAAATAGAAAATGGTGGTCTGGAGTGGTAAGATAAAGAGATCCTTTAGGGATAAGAGGATCTGAGAGAAAGAGAGAAATGCTCTAAGACTCCATAGAGATGGTGTAAATCTTTTCTCGTGATCATGCAATTTGTCTGGAAGAGCTTATGAGTATTAGATCTAAACCTTAACTCTGTTTTCATCCATGAAATCTGGTAAAATATTTCAGGGCTCAGGAAGTCATATTATTACCCTAAATTCCAAACCTTTAGTGTAGCTTAATCTAAGATTAGTTTATTTTTAATTCAAGTCATCAGTAATTTATTATTTATTTAAGTCACTCTATTATTTAGAGATTGCAGGGTTGGTACTGAAGTGTTGGTTAATTTAATGATTTTTTAATATTTGTTTAATTTAATTTTTCAAAGTATCATGTAATTAAAGCAATCTACCTTACATGATCATTACATTTGAAGGAGGGAAGGAACTTCAACGTTCTTCTATTCCACGTCCTTCATTTATCAAACAACAAAATGGAACCTTGAAGAGACCAACTGGTTTGCTCAAGATCACAATGCTCGTTAGTGGCAGAGTAAAAACTACACTTGGGGACTGCTGTCTACAAGCTATGCACCTTCCTTTATAAAGTCTGGGAAACATAAAGTAAAATATACAAAGATCATTAGATGCATCTTTAAACATAGCATAGCCTATTCTTCATAACTAAATGTTATTACTTACATGATTGATCCTAACTGTATCAGTCGATGTCACAGTCTGCTATTTCTGCTGACCCACACAAACACATATACACACAAGACTATCTTATGGGTATTTAAACATAGTAACACATAAAAAAAATTTTCTTATAATAACCATAGAATTTATAATTTATATGATAAATTATAATTTATCTTATAATAACCATATTTTGTTTTCACTAAAGTTTTGAATCAATAATACTCGTTAGTAAGCACTAATTATTTTCTAACTTTACTAGAGAAACTTTATTAGCAAATTAAGTAAATTATTATGGACCATTAGAACATTAGAATACTTAAGAATCATTTGGGAGAAAAAGTTTGTTAAAAGAAGACTTGCCCATGTTCTCATTAAATGTATAGATATGGGAAATGTTTGACTAATTTTTTTCCTTCCTCTAAAAGTAAAATAGTGAAAATATAAGTCTTGTGGAAACTGATAAACCATATGGAATATCTGAATTATTGTTTAAATAACCAATTTTGAGTAGAGTCTAACAAAAGACGTAATAATCAGGGTGTGACACACAGAAGGTGCTTAATAAATAGTTGTTGAATAAATCAACATCCCTCCTTAAACTTCTAGGTCAAAGCATTTTTTTTCTGGTGGTTTTTAGCCAAAATATACTTACATGCATAGATGAATATTTATTTCAATATATAAATGTTTGGTTTCCATTGGAAATCATTAAATGTTTACTAATACTAACTTTCTGTAATAAATCTTACTCTGAGAAATCTGAAGCCACAAATACAGTAGCTGAGTAAATTAAACAAGTGTCTAAAACTCTGACTTTTCCTGTTTAATTATCTTTTTTCACAGTGTTCAATTTTGCTGGGAATTTGAGGTTATTCCAAATGATGAAACATAATGAACTTTTTTATTAAGTAGTATATTGAATGTGTCTTCCTAAAATTCTAAGCTTAGCTTCTGAGAAATTGTGTCCAAGGAGATGGAAAGAAATGATATATTATCAGACTTCTCACTTGTTCTTACTTTATCAATGACTTGGATTTTTTAAATATCAGAATTTTTACAGTTACTGTAAGGCAACTAAAAGGTGACAGCGTGCTAGCAGCCCTCCCTCGCTCTCGGTGCCTCCTCGGCCTCGGCGCCCATTCAGCCACGCTTGAGGAGCCCTTCAGCCTGCCACTGCACTGTGGGAGCCCCTTCCTGGGATGGCCAAGGCCAGAGCCGGTTCCCTCAGCCTGCGGGGGGTGTGGAGGGAGAGGCACGGGCGGGAACCGGGGCTGCGTGCGGCGCTTGCAGGCCACCTAGAGTTCCTGGTGAGCGTGGGCTTGGTGGGCCCTGCACTTGCAGCGGCCGGCCGGCCCTGTGGGCCCCGGCAGTGATGGGCTTAGCACCAGGGCCAGCAGATGCAGAGAGTGCGCAGGGTCCCCCATCAGTGCCGGCCCACCGGCACTGCGCTCGATTTCTCACTGGGCTTTAGCTGCCTCCCTGCGGGGCAGGGCTCGGAACCTGCAGTCCGCCATGCCTGAGCCTCCCCTCCCCAGTGTCCCCCCGCCACGGGCTCCTGTGCGGCCCCCTGCTCCGCGGCACCCAGTCTCATCCACCGCGCAAGGGCATGGCGCCGGACTGGCAGGCAGCTCCATCTGCCGCCCCGTGTGGGATACGCTGGGTGAAGCCAGCTGGGCTCCTGAGTTTGGTGGGGACTTGGAGAACCTTTATGTCTAGCCAAGGGATTGTAAACACAGCAATCAGCACCTTGTGTCTAGCTCAGGGTTTGTGGATGCACCAATCTGCACTCTGTATCTAACTAATCTGGTGGGGACTTGGAGAATCTTTATGTCTAGCTAAGGGATTGTGAATACACCAATCGGCACTCTATCTAGCTCAAGGTTTGTAAATGCACCAATCTGCGCTCTGTGTCTAGCTGATCTGGTGCGGACTTGGAGAACCTTTATGTCTACCTAAGGGATTGTGAATACACCAATCAGCACTCTGTATCTAGCTCAGGGTTTGTAAATACACCAATCAGCACTCTGTATCTAGCTTATCTAGTGGGGAGGTGGAGAACGTTTGTGTCTAGCTCAGGGATTGTAAACGTACCAATCAGCACCCTCTCAAAACGGACCAGTCAGCTCTCTGAAAAACAGACCAATCGGCTCTCTGTAAAATGGACCGATCAGCAGGATGTGGGTGGGGCCAGATAAGAGAATAAAAGCAGGCTGCCCGAGCCAGCCCTGGCCACCTGCTGGGGTCCTCTTGCGTGTTGTGGAAGCCTTGTTCTTTTGCTGTTTGCAATAAATCTTGCTGCTGCTCACTCTTTGGGTCCACACTGCCTTTAAGAACTATAACACTCAGCGCTAGGGTCCGAGGCTTCATTCTTGAAGTCAGTGAGACCAAGAACCCACCAATTCTGGACACACAACCATGTTAGCATTTTTTTATTTTCTGTTAAAAGAGAGAGCAAGATTCTCTGATGGTTTGATGGGTTTTGGCATCATTTAAACTACACAGGTTGGCAAACAGATAATGCAGATGTTTTCTAAGAGTTGTGGTAAAACAGAAGTAAAGGATATTATATCAACTAGGCTTAACTGCTTCATTCCTTAAATTGAAATCTTGTAGTTTGTCTGTAAGTTGCCATTTTTGTTCCATTATTGCTATGTAGTTATGGAAATGTTCTTTGTTCCATCCCAGGAAACTTGTCAATGAGACCTATCAGTGACTTTCATAAAGTTCTCTTGTAGTAGAAGCTAACATACAGAGTATCACAGGGCCAATTTGATAATTGTCCAGGCAATTCTGAAAGCTCAGTGAAACCCAAACAGGCCCTTTTTTTCTGCTTTCAGAATATGCTGATTTTTTGCCCCCAAAACAAATGCATTATTAAATGTTTATTGCTGACAAAATTGAAATAATCTGAGAAATTAATTTCTTCAGATACGTGTTGGGTATCTGCTATTTGGATACTATTGGGAATGACATAGAGACATGTAAGTCAAACCTCTTCTTTCCCGATTTCTCCTAGTACTTTTTTGTCTCTCACTTAAGTTAATCCTTTTTGCAACTGTGTGGGGAGGATAGGTGCCTTTATTATCACTATCAGAAAACAAGAGCTCAATAAAGTAGGATAGCAACTCATGAGTTTCCTACGTATTTGAAGCTAAACTTAAGCTTATTTAAAAATGAGTTAAATATATTTTGAAACATTTAATCAATAAAAATTTATTCTGTTTTGCGAGTTTTTAATGAACTTTTTACTTTTAAAAGTTCTCAGATTCTGAAAACAAATTACTTAGAAACCAACCCATCAAATCAAATTGAGAAATGTTTATTAATCATTACTGTGTTTAAGAACTTTTGCCAAGTATATCTTATGTTGTAATATACAAATAGCAGCCCTTCATAAAATTTCATAAAATTTCCCCCTTTAACTTCTTGTCTGCCATTATTGTTTCCAACATACAATTTGTTTAGCAATTTAAGTTCTTATCATAATGAAGGGTTATACTGGTCTCACTCCTGAAAAGTAGTCACGTTAAACAGAGAATAGCATTATCATGATTTTAAATAAGTGTGGCTAAAGATATTGGCTGAGATTGTCTTGAAGGACTTTTCACCAAAGATACGGGTAATCAGGTTAATGAATCTAACTACTGGTTACAAAAAATGAATTAATCATGTCAGATATAAAAAATTAATTGTCACTACAATGCAGAAATCTAGCTTTTAGGAAATGAGGTGGAAACAAGTTATAGGAATAGCTAAGCACTGAAGGCCGGAAAAAATGACATATTAAAGAGTATTAGGTTTTTAGGAAACTTCAGATGGTATTTACAAGTATTTGGTTGATTTTAATATTTATATTTTATAACAGTCGCTTTTATAATTTGACTATTACCTAAAAGTATCTTTGTTTTATCATATAGTTTATAGTTTATAAATAGCTGACTTTAATGGAAGAAGAAGTCACATTCCCAACTCAATGACAAGCCTTTCTCGTAATACTTTCTCAAACACTCTGAGTTCTTATATCTTCAGGAGCTTTTATTAAATAGCACAGACATATTTATTTATATATTTTTATAATGATAATACATAATAGCTAGTATTTTGGTGTATGATGAACAATTTTTAAAACTGTACTATGTGATTTGTTCCTTCTCAGCTTTAATGTCATTATTTGAATGTCAACTATGAACAAGTCTCATGATTTTCATGCTATTTATATTTGTCCACTGTCTACCCACTTTTCGTATCTTGTAAGCTCAAGAATAAGTTGTTTTGTTTTGTTTTTTGAGGCAGAGTCTTGCTCTATCACCGGGCTGGAGTGCAGTGGCCCGAATTTGGCTCACTGCAACCTCCACTTCCTGGGTTCAAACAATTCTCATGCCTCAGCCTCACAACACCATGCCCAGCTAATTTTTGTATTTTAGTAGGGATGGGGTTTCACCACGTTGACCAGGATGGTCGCGATCTCTTGACCTCGTGATCCACCCGCCTCAGCCCCCCAAAGTGCTGGGATTACAGGCATGAGCCACTGCGCCTGGCCAGGAATAAGTTGGTTTTAATGTCACTTAACTTCTAATAAACAAATGAAAGTGCCGTCAAGAGGAGGCAGAGTATCAAAAAGGATAAAATATCATACACTGGTGTCAAGGTCCTATGTAGAGTATAAAGCTTAGGTAACTGTATTTAGTTTTAGACATTAATCTAGATCAGTTTTTCTTAACTTCCTTTGAATCTCTGCCTCCATAGGAATCCAATAAAGTAGAACATTCTATCTTTAGAAAAATACACATCTATCTACATTTGTATACAAAATTATGTATGTTATGTTTAAGGGTTGCATCCTTAGGCCCATTTACCTAGAATTCAGAACCTCTGCTCTAGGTGATCTTTGAGGATATTGAGATATTAGAGGAAAAAATAAAGTCTGTGTAATGAACATATGAGGAGAAACCTCCTCCTCCCCTAATTAAACATGCTTCCAATGAAATGTGGCTGCCCTTTACTAACCTGCTAATAACCTTCTAACCACTGACATAGCCCTCTGGGTGTAGCCTTTACTAGCTCAGATAATTTTTTTTTCACAGAATAGGACCAACTTTTGTACTTCCAGTTTAAAACAATTGTTCTCCAAAATAGGATCATAAGAATGCCATTATCCTTCTAATAAATTTATTTTAAGCACTGATACTATGCTTGATATAATTATAACATTGGGGCATTACATAATGAATATCCTTAAAACCAAAATGCATGGTTTCAGAGTTTCATTTGGAAAGGTCTCTCAGTGAATCATCTCATGATTGTGAAGTGGGATGGTGAAATAACTGTGTCCAATATCATAAAGATAAAAATTGCTATCAATATAACATCTCTGGAAAGTACAATAATCCCCCTGTATCCATTGAGGAATACATTCCAAGACTCTCATTGGATGCCAGAAATCACAGATAGTACCAAAACCTATATATACTATGTGTTTCCCTATACATATATCCCTATGATAAAATTTAATGTATAAATTAGACATGATAAGAGATTAGTGACAATAACTAGTAATAAAATAGAACAATCGTAACAATATGCCATAATAAAAGTTCTGCGAATGTGGCCTCTTCCTCTCTCTCTCCTTGTCCCAAAATTTCTTATTGTACTATACTCACCCTTCTTCTTGTGATCTGTTGATTTGATAACCCAGGTGGCTACTTATAAGTGACTAACCGACTATATAACGTGGATACACTAGAAAACGGGATGATTCATGTGTCATGAGGGACAGAGTGGGATGGCCAGAGATTTTATCTTGCTACTCAGAATGGCATGCAATTTAAAACTTTATTATTTAAATTGCATGCCATTTACTGAAATGGCATGAATTGCTTATTTCTAAAATTTTCCATTTAATATTTTCAGACTGCATTCGACTGTGGGTAACTGAAACTGTAGAATAAGAGGAGACTACCATATTACCGTTCATTATTATGGGAAGAAGTTAATAAAGGCCTTTGCATGTATTTAGGAAACTTTAAAACATATCATGCAAGAGGACAATTTTTCTCTTTCGCTCCTCTTACTAGATAATTTTTCAACTTTGTCTCACCATTATTTTCTTATTCTGTATGATTTAGTATTTTAAACTCAATAGAATACTGATAATCCATTTTGTTTTCTTCAAACAAAATAATAAATGTCTAGCATCAAAATTATTACAACTAATGAAGTTAGGAGAATATAGGAAAAATATACATTCAAGAGTCTGAATTCTAAAGTACCTCAGATATAACAATTAAATACATTTTGGGCACTATTCAAAGTTCATAATTTAAAAAAAGAAAATTCGCCTAGAGCAAAGATCAAGAAATTTTCATCATAGAAGGCCAAATATTAAATATCTTTGGCTTTGAGAACCACATGGTCACAATTACTCAATTCTGCCATTATAGCTCAAAAGCAACAATAGCTAATAGGAAAATGAATGGGTGTGGCTGTGATCCAATAAATCTTTATTTACAATATTAGATAGATAGTAGTGGACACATTTTACCTGTAGGGCATACTTTATTGACCCCTGAGAGAGAAGCATGACAAAGGAGCGTAAGAGCTAATCCGAAAAAACTTCCAAGGGCCAGAACTAGATCAAATTGAGCAACAAAACTAATAGATATGTCATTTGATTATAACCAAAAGAGTAAAATAAACATCTATGAACCCATAGAGATATAAACAAGTAACTGAACAGATAGAAAGAAAGATATACAGATAGATAAATAGGGAAGCAGAGACAGCTCACCCATACAGAAAAATTACAATTAATAATGTAGAAGGATGATGGAAATAGGAATTCATCGTTAGAATCCCAATGTAAAAATTGTTGAAGTCGGGATTCCCTAATAGATACCAAAATAAGTGCGAAAAAGTTTTCAGTAGAAATTAGTAATTTATGTAGTCTAAAAATATTTCCTCCAAGTAAAAGTAGTAACTTTCTTCAGAAAAACTCAGCAGATCACCTTAAGTGATCAAGTTAAATGTCACCAGTAATAAAAAATATTGACTTCATGAACCTTCATGCTAAGAAAGGCTCTTCACTTCTTTGGTATTCATATTCTCAACAAAAATCCATAAGTTCCATCTAACTACGACAAACCAAAATTGAGGGACATTTTACAAAATGGCCAGTATTCTTCAAAAGTGTTAACTACACGAATTACAAAAAAAGACACATCTGAAGGGACAAAGGAAACATGGCAGTTTAATGCAATGTGGGAGCTGGGTTAGATCCTGCAATAGAAAAAGGACATTAGTTGAAAACTGGTAAAACAAAATAAAGTGTATACTTTAGTCAACAGTTTATTATCAGTGTTACTTTCTTGGTTTTGATAACTGCCTAATGGTTATTTAATTATTAACAGGAGGAAAGCTGAATGAAAGGTATTTGGAACTCTCATTCTATAAGATTTTTTTTTTTGAAATAAGAGTTTAGAAATGGTTTCCACCTAAAAATACCTTTTACTCAATTCTATATAACATTTCAGAAAAAAATAATTAAACATAATGCCTTTGTGTAATTGTAAGTCAAATGCATTTGTTGTTAAAAAAAATTTTGACATGTTCATGTGTTTATTGGAAAAGTAGATTTATTCCAGAAGAATAGCAACCTAATTTTTCTAACAATCCAAAGGTGTAACTTAATCTAATACTGGAGTTGGTTCTTAATTAAGACAGAATGACAAAATAAATGTAAAAACCTTTTGAAGTATGAAGCCTTTAAATAGGCCATATATTAAAATTTAAATTATGATGATGAATATTTTGTGTCAAATTTAGCCTCATGGGTAGAATATTTCTCAAAGACAGACTTTTAAACATTTTAAAGTCTGTTTTGTTTTTAGCTTTATGAATTTAACTGTGTTAAAAAGCAGCTGTGTTTACCCCTCCCCGCAAAGTTGAGACAGACTTTCCTCATGTTAAGTATTATTGAAGTAATTTGTCATCTTGGGCATATTATCTATATTGGTGGCCCTAATATGTAAAATGTCCACTGAGAATCCAAAAAGAATATATCTAACATAAGCCTGTCTAGATATTACCATATGCATTTCCAATGAAGTATTTTAGCAGGATTTATGAGATATAAAATCAGGCAGAATAAAGGAATATTTTGGTTTCATTTTTCTTGATAGTGTCACCTAATTGATAACATGCCATAATAATTTTTCAGGGTCACCTTCGCTGGAGCATTTTAAAGGTCCAAGTAGAGTCTTCAGTTGTCTCATTTATTATTTTTATTGCTCAGGTTGGCAGAGGACTTGGACGAGAGTGCATTTTGTGGTTAGAGGCGAAACAAGCAAAAGGAAGCTTTTTTAAATGAAAAGATTTGCTTTAGTAAAAAAAGAAAGGCAGAATGAGCACAATCACAGTAGAAGGCAGACCTGGGGATAATTAGATGAGGCCTGTGCTTTATGGAAATGGAGTTCAAATAGAATGTTAAATCTGTCAAATTGATTCAATAAAGGAAATTCATGTTGCGCCAGCATTGGGGTGAAGAGGTAACAGAACTCATCCAAAATTCCAAACATTCATAGAACCTTTTGAAATTCCTGCCTATTTGTAAGAGCTAGTATCCGAAACAATAAGTTAGACATGCAGTCTGTAGTGGGCACTCTATATGGGGCAATATGCTAATTATTTTACATACCTTATTTACAAACATTATTGCATTAACACTCACAGAATCTTTATAAGACAGCTTACAGTATCTCCTTGTGATAAATGAGCAAACACAGGGAGATTCATTTACTTGCCAACACCATAGGTTCTAAAGCCTACTCCAGTGCTTTGTAGGATTATGCAATGCTGCCTAATAAATAATTCTTAATTCCCCTAAAAAATAATTCATAAAATGTTATTGTTGGTCCTCACCAGGTCAGATGATGCTCAGACCTTTGTTGTGCTAAGGTTGTGATACCACTGGTTATTACTTCTTCTATTCAGATCTGTAAGGGCTGTTTAGGGGTCCTTTGTGATTAGAAGCATTCTCATAATAGTGTTCTTCCTGTCTGCTGGTTATTCTTTGTCTAGATGGAGAAGTGAGTGCCAAGTCTAACTTGAATACTCCTCTTAATGACTAAAATTGCTGTAGGAATATATACCACACATCAAATGATCAAACCAGACATATGCTACAAACTTAATGCAAGTTAAGTGTGCAGGTTAGCATGAAGGTTCAGAGGGAACATTCAAAAGCCAGACTGCATGGGTTCAAATCCTAGTTCAAACATTGATGAGATGTGAAATTTTTTGCCAAGTTCTTTAATCTCATTTTCCTAATCTAAAAAGTGGGGACAATGACAGTACTTACCTCATAAGGTTGTTTGATGTTTAAATGAGTTATTAATTTCAAAACAGTTAGAAATTGGTAAAAACCTGGTAAGTAGTAAGTGCTGAGTAAAAGTTAATTCCACTATATTATTAGTCAAAATAGTTTAGTTTTGCAATCCTGCAACTGCAATAGTCACTAACCTCCCCGTATTAGTTTGTATTTCTTTCTGGGAACAAATTTATTTTCTCTTGGCTGTCAGACTTCAGTTCACATAAATGGAGACAAACCTTTCCAAAAACTTAAGATTGTTCCTCCTGACCCTGGCAGACATTAAGTGCAGTACCGCTTCTGTCCCCAAACCCACTCCAAGCAAAACACTATGAAGACATTACTAAGAAAGACATAGTTCAAATGAGTGGCACAAAATATATGTTCTGTACAATTTTAGAAAACAGAATGGTGTTCAGTAATCAAGGCTGATATCACAGAAGAGTAAAATGTGGGCTGGGTGCTAAGGAATTCATTTGAAATTTGGTAAATGAACATTAGAGAAACCATGCTAGCTGGTGGACAGGGCACTGTGTAGAGTTAGACAGCTCGGGTGCTGCCCCAGAGTCCCAGCGGAGGGGATGAGTCGAGGCTGAAATACAGTCTGTGCTTGGGTCTCCAAGTCATGTGCATGTACATAGCCAGATTTCCTGAAAGTAGAGCTGTTTTTTTTTTCCTTTGTCACCAAGCACGTTGGGATTGCCCAAGCCTTTTGCTTAAGCTATAACAATCCAGGAAAGTTTTCTTTTTTAAATTTCCACAGTGGCATTCGATAATTAGAAGATCATAAAAATTATCATTCAAACAGACACAATTCTGATAAAAAAAGAAGCACTATTGATAGTTACTCCTATATAATAGGAACAAACCAAGATATTTGAGGCAATCTGGAACATTTGTCACCTCCTGTAATATGCAGTGCCTACTGGTAGAGCTGAGACTACTGCCTGAATTTTACCTGGAGAAACTAGACTCAGTCTAAGTTAGTGATTATGATAAGGTGTTCAGTTTATTCCTGTTGAGGCATTTATTCTTGGGCTGACATTATTTTAATGATCTAAGGCTTTTTACACAATTGGGCCTCTTTTCCTGTTATCAGCTATAAACAATAAATATTCCTCCCCAGTCTCCATTATTTTAATCCATCTGGTGTGCAGCCAAGATGTTTATCTTTTTAAAATTGCTTTCATCATATATTTTCCTGCCTCTCAATTCTTCAGTGACTCGTCAAAGTAGACTAATAGAATAAATAGAATTTGCATGGATGAAGAAAGGTGTATAATAGGGTTCAAAGTCCTTCTGTGAGGTCAGATATTTTACATTTTGGAGTCTGTTTCAGATTTTAATTGTTTTGTTTCTATACATATAAATTGTTTGTAAATCTCATTTTCCTGATATACATTTTCCTGACTACAGTGTTCTCAATTTCTTGCCCTTGCAATAGGAAATCTAGGATTAGATCTGTTTGTGTTTTCATTGTATTGTCATTTAAGTTTCACACTGTGAACTTTACCGTTGTATGTATTGAATATGCCAGAAGGCCACTAACTTGATAAACTAAGCATAATGACTGAATGGAATTAAGGTATTTCATGTATAGCCAAACCAAAACAAACCAAAATGAGAAGCTCCATTGTATTCACAATTTGTGATGATGCTCTTTCCATACTTTTTACATTTACTTTAGAAAGGAAATAGCATGAACAAGAGTAGTTTTATAAGATAATGTACTTCAACTCTTCCTGGGCTATGGTAACTTTTAGACTCTGTTCTAATTCTATAGAGCTCAAGAGACCAATTTGTCAAGATTATCAAATCATCCTGCATTGGATGGGAATTACACCAGATTCTAGCTCAAGTTGTTTTTATTTCTAAGGATCTGTGATTCTATGTAATCTATAAAAACAATAGTAGCCATCATATATATGTGCCAGAAACTGTTCCCAGCAACTTTACAGACATTACATATTATTCTTAAAAGTAACCTCATAAATTATCCCCATTTTACAGAAGATATAGTAACTTGTTTATGAGTTTATTCATGATATTTGAATCTGGAATGTTCTAGCCTCCATAAAAATCAAATAGACTTGACTACCTTTTTCCATAAATCTTGTGTTATATTTTACATATTTAAGAAAGCAAGATTTCGTGAGATTTAAATTGGGAACTCTTCCTTCTATGGCTACTAAAAGGAAACTTTTCATTTTTGATGAAGAATACATCATCTAGTGCTAATATACTATAATTTTACCTAAATTATAGTGATAATATAAAATGTTTTAAAAATGATGTACTCTTGATAATATACTGTGTTGGGGTCCCTTAGCTCAGTCATCAAAGAAAATTTCTTCCTCAAAAAATCTGGCAACCTATAATTTTTTTGTTTATTTTAAAGACTAGCCAAATAAAGCATCTATGGTTATATGTGTCATTAATTGGCACAGCTGGGATCCTACTCATACCCTCATACTTTCCAGGCCTTAAAAAATGTGCAAACAAAAACTAAAAAAGAAAATGCATTGCACTGACCTCCTTTGGCATAAACTCTATTAAGTACCAAGTTGCTATAAAATATGCCTATTTTTCTTCATGTTGCTTCTTTCTCGATAAAATATCAAACTAATAGTGCACTCATTTATGTGTAAGAGCTTATATGACATCTGTTTCTAATCAGAATGCTCAAACTCTTCCTAAAAAGAGATTAACAGGCCTATGCTTTTTTTTTATTCTCAATTTTCCTACCTAAACTAGAATTGTTGACTATCTCTACAAATGATTAGCAGAGAGTCATTATGTCAAGTTTCAAGAAGGAAGTTAACTCCATATCTAAATATTAATGTCAAATTGCTTCTCTTTTTCTACTGCATTAAAAAAAGTGAGCACTACTGTGACTACCTATTTTCGCCAGCAAAAAGCAGGATTTGAAAGGAATAGAAGGCAAATTCAGTAAGTCTGGATCATGGAAAAGAAACTGGAAGCATGAGTGAGGCCTGATAAGTATTCTAGAGGTTAATTATGATTGATAAGCCATGTTAGAACAAAGGATAGTGGAAGACAGAAGAGACTGAGGAGAGGTAATCCCAGTGAATTCAGTAATTTATTCAGAAATATTTATTTAAGACCGGCTATGTGTCTGGACTTATGCTAGGGATACAGCATGGAGTGCAGGAATGGTCACTACCCCCTTGGAACACATAGTCTGTTGCAGATAACACATGATTTCAAATAATTTTTCTGGCTAAAGTGCAGGGAATAGTCTAAAGGGGCCAGAATAAATGTCTGCAAATGTCTGGAGCTAAGCTAGGTGACATGACAGTCCAGGCATTGCTTACTATAACACGGGAAGTGGAATTTGAAGGACACTGATATTGTAATTCAAGATCAAGTTCTTCCTAAGGGTATAGGCTCCAGGAACATCAAAAGAGAGCAGAAGACAAAGGCATAGACAAAGTTTGTCCACTCCCTTTTCATAAGCATTTTTTTAAGTAAAAAGCAGGCCAAAAATATTTTGAAGTTTGTCTTCATAGGTGAAAATGATGAAGCTATGTCTAATTTCTTAGGAAATATAGGGGATCTTGAGGTCATTACATCCATATAGTACTCAAGTCTTTTTGTTTTAGGACCAGCTGATGCCGTCATCCACTTGCTGGGCCTTCACTGTGCCTAGGCATTTTCAGTGGAGGTGGTCAGCCCTGCTGCAGGGCAGCTTTACTGAGGTATATGTCCAAGTTGGGCTTGGAATTGGCATTCTTCTTCAGTGATAAGCACCAAAGAAAAAGCACAACAATGTAAGACATTCGTTCAGTTTTGAGTAGAAGATAAACATTCCAAATTAACAGTGAAAGTTGCTGTTTTATTTTTTTTTTTGCCATGACTATTTAGCAAGCCTCACAAAACTAATTATAATCTCTCAAAATCACTTTTTCTTTTTTTTTTTTTAAATTTCTTAGGCAGTTCCTAAGGATAAAAATTAGTGTGAATAAATATGTGCTTGTCCTTTGGTACTTAGAATTTTAGAGTTTTTGAAGTGGACACAGTGTATCTTTTGGGATCTCACAGTAGTTTCCAAATTGAAGAAAATATAAGCATATTTAAATAAGACAATGTCACCGCATGTAATCATTAACATAAGTAAGGATTTGTCTTATGCAGAGTTGCTTTTATTGTTTGTTTTGCACTGAGACTTTTTCCATAACTTGGAAAGCTAACACTGACAGTAAATTTTTAATAGTGCTGCAGTCATCCGCGTAGCAGGTGTTACAAGGAGGGAAGTTATAAGGAGCCACAAAGTGAAGAAAATGGTAGTAGAAAATACTTTGTTTTCTTCAAGAAAATTCATTTAATGGTATGAGAGGTTAAGTAGTTCCTTTTGGAAAAGTTGTTCTATATACATTAATGGAACTACATATAATCATGTATATTTCATGATGAAAATAATATTATTTTATAGTTTTAGTCATGCAAAAAATGTACATGGATAGAGTTTATTTGGTAACTGTACTAATTACCAGGACTGTAATGTAGAATATTACAATTTGCAGCAAAACCAGAACAGGACAAAATACATTTTAACTAAAATTAATAATTAAAATGGACATGATTTTGACATTAACACAGAGCTTTATTCTGTGTGCAAATCCATGAGTACTCGCTTTTAGACTATTTTAGCAACTGGCAGCAAAATACTATCACATCTTAATATGAAAGATCTGTGAATAAACTAACAATATATTATTTCAAACTACGTTTAAATTATCTCTGTATTAGTTTGCTAGGACTGCCATAGCAAAATACCACAGAGTGGTAGCTTAAATGAGAGAAATTTATTCTCTCACAGTTCTGGAGGCTGGAAGTCCAAAATCAAGTAGTCAGCAGGTTTGATTCCTTCTGAGGCCTGTTTCCTTTGCTTGCAGATGTCCACCTTCTTGCTGGGTTTTCACATAGTCCTTCCTCTATGCCTGTGCATCCCTTGTGTCTCTTTGTGTGTCCAGTCTTCCTCTTATAAGGACACCAGTCAGATTGCATTAGGATCCACCGTAACAGCCTCATTTTAACTTAATCACCTCCTTAAAGTCTCTGTTTCCAGAAACCATCACATTCTGAGGTCTTAGGGGTTAAGGCTTCACCATATGAATTTGGGGGATAAACAATTGAGCTCATAACAGTCTTTAAGTATGTGTAGGGTTCTTGTGTGGCGATTACCAACAAACTGCTTATTTTCAATGAAGTCAAAACAAGACTTAGATTAAAAGACTTCAGAAAAAGTATTAGATAAAGTGTTAATCAGGCCAGAGTTATACGGCCTAGTTAGTTCAGGCTTCTTCTTGTATATGACACAGCCTAACTGTAGATCTATTGGGCTATAAAAAAGATGGAGAAGAACATGTGTGTGCATCAATTCCAATTGTCCTTAGTAATGGAGCATCAGCTCAAATTTGATAGGATATCTTTGTAGTTTTTATCTTGTCTTCATTCTGTTCTGCATTTAGAGATCACTAGAAATAACAGGTAGCTTAAGTTTAAGAAGAAATACTGAAGGAAGTAGAGAAATTTATAGTTTTATTCTGATATATTTTATGCAATGAACTATTTCTCCTCTGTACCTACTGCATTATTTAGGATGCCTGGGTTTTAATTGGTGATCTCTACTTAGTCTGAGTTACACTGAGCCAATTACAGGTTTTTTTTTTTTTTTTTTTTGAGACGGAGTCTCGCTCTGTCGCCCAGGCTGGAGTGCAGTGGCGGGATCTCGGCTCACTGCAAGCTCCGCCTCCCGGGTTCACGCCATTCTCCTGCCTCAGCCTCCCGAGTAGCTGGGACTACAGGCGCCCGCCACTACGCCCGGATAATTTTTTGTATTTTTAGTAGAGACGGGGTTTCACCGTTTTAGCCGGGATGGTCTCGATCTCCTGACCTTGTGATCCGCCCGCCTCGGCCTCCCAAAGTGCTGGGATTACAGGCGTGAGCCACCGTGTCTGGCCCACTTACAGGTTTTTAAGTCAGCCCCTGACAGATTTGATTGGAAAGGAACTCTCATGAGAATGTCTCTTGAACCAGAAATAGCTCCAAAAGTACTGATCCCATGATCACAGGTGTTTCAGCAATCCAAGAAAAGGTTTATTTTGATACACTTTGGACAAAAAGGGCTTGCAAAGAGCAGCCATTGACTTGAAGTCCTCAGATTTCTTCTTAAATTTTTCTGATCTAATCTCTTTAGTGCTAAAAATTTCAAATGAAGAGGAGACAAACTTCTCTATTTCCTAGTATCATAATGCCTTGTCCTTCATTGTCTTAACTACTCTGTATAAAACTGAAATCTCGGCCAGGCGCAGTGGCTCACACCTGTAATCTCAGCACTTTGGGAGGCCAAGGCGGGCAGATCGCAAGGTCAGGAGATCGAAATCACCCTGGCTAACACGGTGAAAACCCGTCTCTACTAAAAATACAAAAAATTAGGTGGGTGTGGTGGCGGGTGCCTGTAGTTCCAGCTACTCGGGAGGCTGAGGCAGGAGAATGGCATGAACTCGGGAGGTGGAGCTTGCAGTGAGCCAAGATCGCACCACTGCACTCCAGCCTGGGTGACAGAGCGAGACTCTGTCTCAAAAAAAAAAAAAAAAAAAAACCCCCAAAATCTCCTGAAATCTAACCTATGTCTGCCTTCCTCCTCTTAAGATGGCTGTCAAAACCATGACATGCTGTGGTAAATGGGTAGAAAGAATGCAGAGAAATGTCTCAGTGATAAGAGGTGGGTGTGTCTGTATAGCACAAAGTGGAAAGAAGACAAGCTTAAAACATGAAACGTTTCAGAAAAATGTAATGGCTTAATTATAAAGATCTCCACAGATGCCAACTGAAATTCTTCATAAAATTGTCAAGGCACCATAAGTTAGTTTTAAAAACAGAGAGAGATGAAGAAAAGAACATGTCAAGCCAAATATTTCACTGCTTTTTAAAAGATATTTGCTGAGTTAAAAAACATTTATGGTATTTTATTTTTAATGGCTCTAAAATTAATTTCCTCATGAAAATCCACAATCACCATGTTTTAACAAGGTGGCCTAATGCTTGTCTTTACAACAACACCATCTGATACCTGGGACCATGGGCCATTAGCATTGAGGGTCAGCTTAGAAGCCATCCAGTCCCCAAATCTCATTTTGCAGAAAATGGATCAAGCAGCATCCACTCCTGTTCATGGTTTCTGTGGCCCTTCTTTGCCAGGAGCATTATTGGGCAAAAAGAAGAGTTAAGGCATTCTAGTTGAAGTGGATCCCTTTGAAGCATTAATATATGGATTAAAATGTCATTTTAAGACTTCATTGCTATCCAAAGTATTCTTATTCTGGGAACAGCTTTTGTCACCATGCTGCTGTCACAGAACACATGGTAGTACCCTGAATTCTGTTTTCCCTCAGGGCAGGGGCTGTTGGCTTTTTCTTTTTGTGTGGTTTCTTCCAGCTAATGACCTCTTTTCAGTTGTTCCCATTGACTTAAAAGTAGCATGCATAAACCTCTGAGAATAAAGATGACATTGCTTGGGAGAAAGTGCAGTGATTTTGATAAAGCACCTACGTTCGGGATATCACTCATAATAAGGCTCACTCTTTGGCCATTACTCATTCTGGGAAAGATAATAGATTTATTTTCCACTCTTCTTCACATTTACTTCAACTTTCTATGATCAGATGGGTAAAAAAAATATTTTTTGTGATGTACACATTCTTAGATATATTGTGTAAGGCACATCATACTAGAGAATAAACAATGACATGACTACAATATAAGGGCTAATATTTACTGAGTGCTTACCATGTGCCAGGCATTGTGCTAAGAGATTGGCATATATTATGGATACTATTCTTACAAATATCTGTTTTACAGATGAGAAAACTGAGGTTAAAAGATGTTATGCTACTGATCCAGCTAGTCAATATTGAAGCCAAGATTTGAACCTAGGAATTAGAGCTCATTATCTTAACCATCAAGGGTTCTCTTTCCTCAGTGATTCTGACCACAGGATAATTACTTTTAAGAAATAATTGGTGGTAGAGAAAATTAACTTGTATTAGGGGAAAGTTATTTTAGGAATTTAAATTCATATCCATAGTATTCAATTTATCTACAAAAAGAAAAAAATGGTTATTTTACTTCAGTGGTTTTACATTTTATAAAATTGAATGGGGCTAGCAATTATCCAGCACCTTTATCCAACTCTTGGTCCTTTGCAATTCCAGACCATTTAATCTTAAATTATTTGCATACAATGGACAAACCTCATCTTTCTAATTGAAAAAAAAATCTTGCATTCCAGTTACAACTGGAAGAGAGAGATTGAAGTCCATTGAAAATAAGATCAGAATGTCATAATAATCAGACTTTTCTTTTCCACTTGAGAATAGGGAACTTTCGCAGTTCCATTTATAGGCCACATCAGACTGTGTATGAAACATTCACCTATCTTTTTTTCCGTGGACCAATTTGAATATTAAGAAGACTAGATTAAAAGTCAAGACTGATAATGGAGTGTAGAAATTTCAGCTGAACCACATAATTTTCCAATTTTCAAAAAACAAGAACTGGGAAAAGACACTTTAGAAAAAATATATATTTAGGTTTTTATTAGAGCGGATAGGTTTAAATGTTATGACATTATGATTTAGAAAGTACTCAAGATTCTCATATCTGGGAAAATGGCAAAATGCCATTTGTAAGGTAATGTGGGGCTGCTCTTACTTTTCATTTTTCTTATTCTCAGTATTTAGTGATGTCTATCAATGGCTCTGCCTGTTTTTGTAGCTGTTAAACCATTCTTCTGTCTTAAATGCTACACAACTGGCACAAAATAACTCTTTAGTATGCATGATAACAGAGTATGACCTTTAATTTATCAGAGTAAGTTCTGTATTTTGTTACCTGCTTGTCCCTGCTGCTTTTCATTTCTTGCTGCTGGTTTTTGATATGATACTCCAGTGCCTTTGCAATGGGAAACAAACAGCATTTAAAGGTGTAGGGAAGAAAATTTAAATCACTGTTCATTCCACACAGGCAATGAGATCCAAAATTCACAAGGTTACCTGTATTTATTTCAAATTAATCTGATGAAACAATATCCAAACCAAAATTTTTGAATGTAAGTAGCTAGTGGGAACAAGTGCTTGTACAAATCTTTGTGTAAAACACTTAGATATCTTAATGTAAATCCACATAAGAGAGGGATGTGAAGGAAGAAATTACTTAAGCTAGTTAGACATGCACTAAGATTCTAATTTCTTCCCCAAAGCACCATTGAACTCTGCAGTAGACAGCCTGCAGCCTTCTACGCCCAACATCACAGCAGTCTCACATGAATATATTGTTTAACTGGATATAAAAGCCTGCTGTTTCACATAAGGAGCTGGGATGTCATCTGAAGCATTAGTCACGAACAGCGCATCACCCTACTTGAGCTGTGCGTGCTCTTTCTAGCTGTGAGAATGACTGACAGAACTCTTGAGTTGCACCACCCCCTCTTCCTGTAGCATTACATTAATATATCGCATTTAATTTAGAGAAATGAGCGTGTGTGTATGTGTTTAAGGAAGCAGTGGGAACAAAGTTGAAATGTGCATACATGCAGTATCAATAATATAAAATTGAAGTTTGAAAAAAGGTCACCATTAATTTCTCCATCCTAACACAAATATTTCACTTTTACACATTGCCCTCAAATTCTTGCCGATTTTCAGTGCATTTTACTTAGTAGTTTTATGAGAGTTTTTTCTTTTTTTTCATGGTTCGTGACATGAATATTTAACCATTATTGGTCATACTTGTAATTATATTTTGAGACTAAATATGTTTTATTGGAGAGTCTATTTATTTAAAAATAGATGTTGGGTGAATAGCATTATGAAGTTCAGGATAATGATCAATTGTCAACCTTTTGAGGATTAATATTCACATTATGAAAAATTTTTAGCTCATTATTATTTCAATGACATTTTGATTGTGATCTAGGTGCAATCGTTTGTGTTCCATCACACCTTCTTTGCTCTAATCCATTGTTCTCTCTGAACTTCTATGGCAACTACACTTCACATGGTGGTTAATTGCGTACTTATGTCTCATTATCTATTATCTTGAACTTTTACTTAAATCTTTTATTTTTTAACTTTCCTCATTTGTCCCCTTGACTCCCTAGACAACGTGTAAGCTCTTCAACAATAGAATCCATGTGATGTATTGATGTGTGCCTTTCAGAGTACAATAATTTCAGAGTACATGGGCACTGCTTATATATTGACTTTATTGAGTCCGATTGCTTTTCTAACATCTAGCCGAGCTATACTAAAGAAACCAGGGTTTAATTATTGGCACTAGAGAAGAAGGAAGGTGAAGTATTTTTGGAACATGAGATATGTGTAGGAACCGCAGTTGTAAATATACGCCTTGAGTTGTTGACAGGTGGCATGAAAGCACTGGGTTTCTGGAGCTGTGTAAAAGGAAACGCAGAGATAAGAAATAGGCAAGAAGGAAAAGAGGAAATGTGACGTCCAAGCAAAATTTACTGTAACATGTTACAATATTCTTTTTCTCTGACAAGTCAATGAAGTACAGTGGTCTTTTGTGTCACAACTAGGATCCTCTCTCCATTTCCAACGTGTTTCTGGAGAGGTTCAACGTCCAAAAAGCACTGAAGTTAGTGGATTATTATGCTTGTGGCTTTTCTTATAGGTTAGAGGTAAAGACAAGGAATGTCTGGAACATTTTATGCCTCCAGTAGCTATGCATACAAGGCATCATTATAAAAGGAAAAAAAACAAAATACTGCTTCTCACTGGGATCTCCACTGTTATAGGTCTTTGATCACTTTACTTACCTCTGCTTCACTGTCTTAATCTATAAAATGGAGATGATAAAATTATCCTCCTGATAAATCGTTGAGGATTTAGGGAAGATTACTGATTTCATGTGTCCATAAGGGCGATCTCACCCCAGAATCTAGAAGACAGAAACTTTGTAGACAAGCCTTAATGACATCTTACATTATACAAAAGAGTGCTATAAGGATTAAGGAGAAGATGTTGGCCCTTATGACTCACGGTATTAAGAGATATTACTTTATAACTATTCCATGGAACAACTTTCGAGTCAGCTTTATCTTGATTCAAATGGTCCCTCTTTCTATGATGTATGATGCAGCATTAGTTTTATGTCATCTCTTTGAGCCTCAGTTTTTCCATCAGTAAAATAAAAGGTACTTATGGTCTGGGATCAATATCAGCATTAAACAAGATAACCTAAATAAGCAAGTAACACAATGCATAAAACATGAAGCTACTCAATACATTATTTTCTTATTTTCTGGTGGTCCTTTGTTTTCTTCAGTTTCTTTACCTACAGACCACTTTCATACGGAAAAACTGGATTTCCCAGCATGCATGAAACTTAATTGTAGCTTTACTGTCTGGTCTAGTCCTGCTGTCTGACAAAAACCATCCTTTGATTCTGGTAGTGTGTGTTCATCATTCAGTGAGGTCTTAAAAGTCCAGAAGACAATCCAAGCCCCTCGCTGCTCTTTATCAGCCACAAATCAGGCAAATTCTAGAAGCCCTCTGCCCTCATGTTACAAAGGCTAGAAGATCCATAACTTCTACTACCTGACTTTATAAGCTTCAACTTTGTATCATTTTTGCCTTGGTTAAATGAATGTTGCTTTCTTTACAAGGCATTGATGTATTTATTGATGAACTTTGGAAGTAAATGCTCCTTGGAGGGTTAACATTTCAGTTTAGTAAAAGATTCAATTTAGTAAAAGATTAATACGATGTGAAGAGAAACCAGAGTATCAACATTTCAATTTATTTGAAAGAATTCACCACTAAAATTCATCTAGAAAATATAGTCTTGGAGATGATACATATTTTGAAGGTTCATCAAGTCCAAGACTGTTTCTTGTACACAGTCATTAGAGAATTGAAGCACTTGCAGAAATTTCCCCCTGACCAAATCAAAGATTGTCATGATCAGCTCTCTACACAATTAGAAAAAAAAAAAGAAGATCCCACGTGGTATTAATTTTTCTGCTAATGTGTATGCACCACAGTAGAGCTCACCTCAGACTATAAATCATTGACTTGTAATTAATCATAAAAATAAGATTTAAAAGATTTGTCCTATTGTGTACTACAATGGCAAATTCAAAATTGATGAAAGATAAGCAGAGTTACTGAGTCATTTTATATATATAATGAATCAGTAATTATATATATTATATATAGAGACACATATTTTATCTCTATTTAGTTTAGTGTCTGGTAAACTGAATAAACTAAATAGACATGCACACATATGTAATTAGTGGACACTAAATGGTCAAGAAGAAAAAAGGAAATCTGACGTCCAAGCAAAATTTACTATAACGTTTTGCAAAGTTCTATTCCTCTCACAATCCAATGGTGTTTGTGACTATATATACATATATGTAAGTGGACACTAACAATCTCACTGCCTTATGGATCTTGAACAAGAAATACCACTATGTTATCATGCAAAAAATTACCTCAAGTGGTATTTTTTGCATAACTGTATGGGTTCAGTTTTCATTTAGAAATTACTTAACAAGCAATTACCATGTGCTCACCATTGTGTTATACATAAGGCGTACAGCATTGAACAAGACAGACATGGTTCCTGCTCACAAGGAATCTAGAATCTAGAATCAATTACATGAACTTCTTTGATCATGATTATAGATATTGCTACTAAGTATTTTAAGAATGCATAGTGGAAGAATTCATTAAGTAGAATAATTTGGTGGAGCAGTAGGGGACACAGGGAATGCTTCCTTGAGAAATGTATAAGCTGATATTTAAAAAAGAAAAAATTTAGCCAGCCTTAGATGTGTGTGTGTGTGTGTGTGTGTGTGTGTGTGTGTGTGTGTCTGTTGAGGTGGGCAGAGATGTTGAGTACACAGGGATGCAAGAAATTCGCAATGCAAAGGAGAATGTCGGGTTCAAAGTGGATTGGCTTAGCTAAAGGAATTGAAAAAATTACAAAGTGACTAATTTAAAGAGTCAGAGAAAAGTAGTTCAAGATGAAACTGGAGTAAGCTGGAGCCAATTATATATGTGTATTCGGCTTTTACATTTTAATGATATAGGAAATAAAGTAATATATAAGACAAATGTTTTATTAGAATAGCTATATTTTTCAAAAGTTTGTTTCTCAAAAGGTGTCGATATTCAAAATCTATTTATTTGGAACATTATCAGCCAAGTGAGGCATTATGGTATTTGCAGGGTCTATATGACAACAATACACATTGCATTCAGTTGAAAATTATGTGATTATGCTGCACTTAAAATCAGAGTATGTTTACAAAACTATTACTTTGCCTTCTGGGCCTAGATATATCCAAATGTCTTGTTCTCATTTAAAAATCAGTCTGTACACAGGTTACTAATCTTCTCTTGTGGTATAGATGACTTTCAGAATCCTTTTGTGTTTCTTTTCCCAATGTTAAAAACTCAAGAAATAAGAAGCCTTCCAAAGAAGCAAGTCTCTTTTTGTTCTTGTTATTTTTATTTTCATATTATTCTGCACAAATGTTTGGTTCATAGCATTGTTTTTCTTTACTTTTTCCCCATAGATATTAATATGTCATATCAAATGCTGACACTTTTATTTCTGAGGAGAAATTACACAAGAGTGAAGAACTAAAATGAAAGGAGAAAAACTATACATCAGTGATGTTCATATAGCTTGTCTCTACTGATCGATAGTTATAACAATATGATTAAAATTGTATTTATCTTTGTTCTCTGAGTCACACCATGAAATTTAACTCCAAGTCAAGGATTTGAGTTTTATTGCTTTGTGCTACTTACCTTGATTCTTTGTAATTACTCTCATTTCCCGGAAGTCTGCTTGTTCATATAGAATAAATAGACTAAAATGTGACCAAATATTGTTACATGGTATTTTTGTCCATTTGGGCAATGATAATAAAATATTATTAACTGAGTGGCTTAAAAACAATAAAAGTTTATTTCTTTCAATTCGGAAGACTAGGAAGTACAAGATTCCATTTCTAGTGAGGGCTTGCTTCATTCTTCACAGGTGACCATCTTTTCATTGTATCCTCGTATCACAGAAGGAGGGAAGGGAGTTTTCTGGAGCCTCTTTTATAAGGGCACTAATCCCATTAATGAGAGCTCTTTCCTCATGACCTAATCAGCTCCCAAAGGCTTTACCTCCTGACACTATCATATTTGGAATTAGTTTTCAATAGATCAATTTTGGGAGATACAAACATTCAGTCTATACAAATAGGCAAATAAAATTATCTGGGATTTAATCAAAATAGAGGGTATACATTCCAAATATAAGCCATCAGATTTTCCTTTGAATTCTTCACCCCAGGAAACTTGTTTGAAGTATTAATGATATTTAATACCTTACAATGACATTTAATACCTTACAATTAGAGATTGTACCTTGTTGCAATGGCATTACTACAGGGATTGGGGGGAAGGGAGTCTTTCCTCCTGTCAAAAATACTTAATTCTTTTTGAAATTCAAAGGAAAATAAAACCAAATTTTACATGCAGTTTCATTGCTTGAAAATTACTTCGGCAGAGGCATGTATGTTGTCACTGACATTTTCAGTGAAGGTACCAACAGATCAAACCACACAAAATTAACTGGAGGAAAAAGAAATCAAAGGAAAATCCTATCTTGCTTTTATCATGGGAAAAGTGTGAGACTAAATTGTTATCTTTTAACTATTCAATGAGAAGGCTCTGCTTTTATAAATCAAGCCTATTTGCTCAGCATGTTGCTATAGTAGAGTTTTATGCTTTTAGAAAGAGATGAAATTCCTTTTGGACCCTTTTTATAGCCCGGAATGTATAGATCTTTGAAAAGTGGGTCATTTATTGCTTTATCCTTACCTCTGATTTAGAATACTTGAAGGTAAAAATGTCTTCTTCGAAAGATTCAACTTTGTTTTGATTTGAATTTTCAGGGACATTCCACTTGTTTTTCATCTCACCTACCAGCTTAAGCCTGCTTACACTGACCATTCACAAATGCTGTATGTAAAGCTTCTATATCCCAGCATATTTGATATTAGATCCTGAACCTTTCCAAAGAAAAGAAAAGGTCATTGGAAATTATTTTTGCCTTTGACCTTTCCCAATCAAATGGTTTATATCCTTTATATTGCATGTAAGGTCTAGATGTATATTGAACAATGGACAGTATTAAATATAATCAGCAAAATCATGCAAAGCTACTGAATGATATTTTACAAGTAAATATCACCATGAATTTGTAAAGAAATAAAATACATCTTGAGAAATTATTTAAAATAATATACTTCCATTACCCCTTTTAGTATGCAACATTTTTATGAAAATCATGAGGTAAAGGAAAAATATAGGCCTAGTCGCTGGAGAACCTAAACATTCTGAACTATTTTATACCTAATGGTGGAAGGATTTGGGGAATCATCTATTAAAAAGACATTGTCGCTGTACTTTATTTAGATGTGTCTTCACAATGTTTCCATTTTCATACTGCTTTGAAGAAATACTAGAGACTGGGTGATTTATAAAGAAAAAGAGGTTTAATGCATTCACAGTTACATATGGCTGGGGAGGCCTCACATTCATGTCAGAAAGACGAAGGAGGAGCAAAGGCATGTCTTACATGGTGGCAGGCAAGAGAGCATGTGCAGGGGAACTGCCTTTATAAAACCATGAGGTCTCATGACACTTATTCACTATATGAGAACACCATGAGAAAAACCTGTCCCCATGATTCAATTACCTCCCACTGGGTGTCTCCCATGACACATGGGGATTATGGGAGCTAGAATTCAAGATGAGATTTGGGTGGGGACACAGCCAAACCATATCCCTGGCCCCTCCCAAATCTCATGCCCTCACATTTCAAAATCAATTATGCCTTCCCAGCAGTTCCCCAAAGTCTTAACTCATTTCAGCATTAACTCAAAAGTCCACAGTCCAAAGTCTCATCTGAGACAAGGCAAATCCTTTCTGCCTATGAGCCTATAAAATCAAAAGCAAGGTGGGTACTTCCTAGATTCCGTGGGGGTGCAGGCATTGGGTAAATATATCTGTTCCAAATGGGAGAAATTGGCCAAAACGAAGGGTCTACAGGCCCCATGCAAATCTGAAATACAGTGGGGCAGTCAAATCTTAAAGCTCCAAAATGATCTCCTTTGACTCCATGTTTTACATCCAGGTCATGCTGATGTAAGAGGAAGGTTCCCATGGTCTTGGGCAGCTCTGCCTCTGTGGCTTTGCAGGGTACAGCCGCTTCCCTCCTGGCTGCTTTCATGGGCTGATGTTAAGTGTCTGTGGCTTTTCCAGGTGCATGGTGGAAGCTGTCAGTGGATCTACCATTCTGGTGTCTGGAGGACAGTGGCCCTCTTCTCACAGCTCCACTAGGTAGTGCCCCAGTGGAGACTCTGTGTGGGGGCTCCCACTCACATTTTCTTTCTGCACTGCCCTAGCAGAAGTTCTCCATGAGGGTTCTGTCCCTGCAGCACACCTCTGCCTGGACATTCAGGTGTTTTCATACATCCTCTGAAATCTAGGTAGAGGTTTCCAAACCTCAATACTTGACTTCTTTGCACCCACGGGCTCAACACTACATGTAAGCCACCAAGGTTTGGGGCTTGCACCCTCTGAAGCAACGACCTGAGCTGTACATTTGCCCCTTTTAGCCACAGCTAGGATGCAAGACACCTGAGTCCTGAGACTGCACAAACAGCAAGACCCAGGGCTCAGCCCACAAAAACATTTTTTCCTCCTAGGCCTCCTGGCTTGTGATAGGAAGTGCTGTTGTGAAGATGTCTGACATGCTCTGGAGACATTTTCCTCGTTGTCCTGGCAGTTAACCTTTGGGTCCTCATTACCTATGCAAATTTCTTCAGCTGGCTTGAATTTCTCCTCAGGACAAGGGTTTTTCTTTTCTATTGCATTGTCAGGCTGAAAATTTTCTGAACTTTTATGCTCTGCTTCCATTTTAAACATAAGTTCCAATTCCAAACTGTATCTTTATAAATGAATAAAACTGAATGCTTTTAAGAGCACACAAGTCACGTCTTGAACACTTTGCTGCTTAGAAGTTTCTTTCACCAGATACTCTAAATCATCTCTCTCAAGTTCAATGTTCCACAGATCTGTAGAGCAGGCATAAAATGCTGCCAGTCTCTTTGCTAAAACATAGCAATAATTTCCTTTGCTCCAGTTCCCAATAAGTTCCTCATCTCCATCTGAGACCACCTCAGCCTAGACTTTTTGGTCAACATCATTCAACAAGTCTCTAGGAAGCTCCAAATTATCCCACATCTTCCTGTCTTTGTCTGAGCTCTCCAAACTGTTACATCCTCTGCCTGTTACCCAGTTCCAAAGTCAATTCCACATTTTCAGGTATCTTAATAACAGTACTCCACTTTACCAGTACTAATTTACTATATTAGTCTATTTTCATACTGCTGTGAAGAAATACCCAAGACTGGGTAATTTATAAAGAAAAACAGGTTTAATGGACTCACAATTCCACATGGTTGGGAGGCCTCACAATCATGGCAGAAGGTGAAGGAGGAGCAAAGTCATGTCTTACTTGGTGACAGGCAAGAGACCATCTGCAGGGGAACTGCCATTTATAAAACCATCAGGTCTTGTGAGACTTATTTACTCTCATGAGAACAGCATGGGAAAAACCCACCCCCATAATTCAATTACATCCCACTGGGTCCCTCCTGCCACTTGTAGGGATTATGGGAGCGACAATCCAAGATGAGATTTGGGTGGAGACACAGCTAAACCATATCACAATGTATCTGCATATAATTTTGCAGCAGAAAAGTCATTAGTTTTTTATTCTAATAGGAGAACAAAGTCATTAGTTTTTTATTCTAGTAGGAGAACAAAGAATTTAGAGAATAAAGTAGGTATATATTGAATTGAATAAGCACCATCTGATTTTCCATTCATTACCCATACAAGAATAAAGTCTGTCCTGTAATTAAAAAGTTCTTCAGTTTAAAACAGTGCTCACTGAATTAGTAGGCATCTGATATTCTGGGGTAGTAGGAAGATATGACCCCCTTGTGTGGCTACCTTTCTTATATATTATCACATATTTTCATAACTTGTGTCTACTGCCTATTCGATTTTCTAAATTGTTTTATTGTTGTTGTTAGGTGACCTCTGTTAATCATTGGGAATTCAGTGTTTATGTTCTTGCTTTAGCTGAGTCTCAGCAAGGATCTCCAAAGCTTCTGTTGACTTACATCATACTGTCATACTATATCAATCACACAATTATTTTATTAGTACTAGTCAAATGTTTGAGGACAAATTCTATGTATGTATGTGTGAATGTATTTATGTGTTTATGTGATCTTTTTAAAAGTCATTAAAATAATCTATAAAGCTTTGATTTTTCTCTACCTGTCTTGTTTAGACCTTTTTTTCCCCAACCTTTCCCTACTAATAATAACTATGTTTACCAATTTTGTGACATGGGGAATTTATTATTAAACAAATAATGAACTGATTGTAGAGATGTTCAAATCAGTGACAATTCATCAAAAAATAAAATTATAAGTGAGGTTTATGGTGTTTCCTTTGGAAAGTGCAAAGGGAGGCTTAGCTACAAGTGGTTTATTCTCTGGACACTAGTATTTGCTTTCTTTTTCTTTTTAATGTTGTTAGGTTGTAAGAATGTGTTAATAGTGCAACAGAAGCTACCAGAACTAAAAACAAGGTTTTCTTGACTACCTCATTCTACAGATATTAATAGGATTGTATGTGATAGATATTGTGCAAGTAAGCACTGAAGAAATAATAAATACTGCACATAGTAGCATAGTACTTGGCCTCATGGAGGGATATTCAGAGTTTGAAGGCAAACTATCAAATTTGCCATTACAGGTTCAATGCTTCTTTCTAAAGGGCATGTTTCAGGAGCTACAAATAATATAGTCAAGTGTCCTAATGTAACCTGATGACATCAGGGAATACCTTCTGGGGAAGCAATGTTCCTACCAAGAAGATTCCATTAATTAGTAATGGTTAGCTAATGAAAGATAGAGATGAGGTGGGAACAAGGGAGAGTATTTTCCATAAAGGAAGCTACATGTGCAAAGTCCCAGAGAGAAGAAAGAAAAGATTTGGAAGAATTGAAAGAAGTCTCATAAGGATAAAAAGAGCAGAGTGAGGCAGTGATGGCCGTGAGAGGGGACAGGGAGGTAGGAAGGGACCAGATTGTGGAAGTACTTACAAATTTCACTAAGGGTCTGAGATTTTATCCTAAGAGAAATGGGAAGGGTTATACTAGACAAGTGACATGATTAGATATTGGCTTATATGGAAAATGGGTGTGATTAATCACAGAGAAGATGTAGAGAGGTCTGTCAATAGACTGTAGTAGTAATTGGGCAAGAGGGATTTGCGACCTAGATTCGGATGGTGTCTGAGAGAATGTGGGTCATGCCTGATGATTGGAAGACTCTAGCATGAAAAACATGAGGAACCACCTAATCATAAAGTTGTCAGAAGTGTTATGCCAATGTGAGTTGGTATGAGTATTGAGTGACAAATAAGACTATAGAGCAAAGGGTATGTATTTTTGAAAATATTTTGTGATTGCTTTTCAAATTACACATGTCAAACATGCTTATTATATAAAATCACTTATAAGCCAAAAACATGTAATTGATCAATAATCACACTGTCCTAAAGTAACTAATATTACATTAAAAAAAAATTCCAAATATGCATATATGCAAACACACAACAGAGAACACAAATTTTGTACACTTTTAAAAAATGAAGACAGGGTTGGAATTTTGTACCATTTGTGTCCTTTTAAAAAAATTATTAGTTTAACAAAACTATATTCCCACATTATAAAATATTATTTTACAATGTTTTAGTGATCACAGAATACAGAGAAATACATATTAATGTTTTCATTAAACTTTATATTTGCCTTGACTTTGATATTTACATTTTAAATTAAATATTAATGTGTGAAATATTTTCAGTCATATAGACATTCAGATGACAAATTGATGAGGTCTAAAAGATAGTTCTTTTCTATCTCTCCAAAAGTGTGTAATCAGTATTATGCTGGGCTTATTAGTGGTAAGTATAATGTATTATAAGAGTAGCAAAAGAAAGCACTTATAAATTATTGTAAATCAGAGGAATAAAATGTAAATCTATTCATTTATCTTCTCTAACAAAACACTCCAGTCTTTTTATGCAGATAGTGCTACCATTCAACATTTCTTTCACCTCTGAGTCCTCATCTGAGCTAATGCCAAAATGTCTTGGCTTAAATTTCCATGTTAGTTAACTCTAATGGAATAGAAAATCTCTTCTTGCATTATACACAACTCAACACCGAGATGGTGTCTCAGATTCTTCGTAAGTGCTCTACAGATCAAGAAAACACTCATCTATTTGCAAGCAATATTCAAGGTCAATTTAAACAGTGTTTCTAGCAGATAATTTTTTATGCAAAGAAGCAGGGCTCTCACTTAGGTTAGATCTATGAATAGGGGCCACTGTTTGTGGCTTATATTCGTTCCTTAAGCTGTCATGCTTTTAAAGAATAACTTAATAAAAAGCAGATATTTGACTATATAAAAACATACATATAATTATTTTTTCAAATGTTATTTGCTTCAACATGTTAAGCTTTAAATGAAACTCAAGGACACTCAAATAAAGTGACTTTTGTCAAAGCCTTTTCCTGTAATAACGTATCTGGATGATGCAAGATGCATTCTCTTGTGATGTCCAAGTGATTGATAAATCAATTTGTGTGAAATACACAAGAACTATTTGGACTTTGTTGTTTTCTTAAATGAGGTGAATAAGAATTTCTGTTTTCTGACTAGGAAATAAAGTATGCTAGGCCTATTGTAGATGCTTCAGTGTGCCAAATATGGTATTAAGTTTGGTGATCATAAATTATTAATCTGGAATAAGAGGTTGAATGTATTTTGAAAACTTAAACCTGTTTCACCTGAACATGTTTAACTAGTTAATAAGAAACATCAAAAAGACAAAACCCTGAGGTCATTGGTCATTTTTTGTAAAGCTATTATATGCTGTTTAAATTGGTTGTTCGGGTCTGTCTATAACATAAGTTTAATAACCTAGCTCAAATGCAGATTTCTAATTTTCAATTAACATAGGAATAATTTTGTTTGCTAAAATAAAATAAATGAATGAATGACAAGTCTGAAACATGAAATGTTCTAGGTAGAACTTTTTAAAATTCCAAATTTCAAAAAATCATGTGGCAACTGTATAGCTCAATCTTTAAGTATTAACTTTTAACCTTTGACCTTACAGATTTTAACCAATGAAATGTCTCTTTAAACTTTAAAGGAAACAATGATAACGAGCGCCTGGCGATTGCTAGACAGCGAATTCCATATCGACTTGGTCGAGTAGTTGATGAATGGCTACTCGACAAAGGTAAAAAACATTGATTAAAACTTCAAATAAAAAAATAATTTGAACATAACCAAGTAGTACTTCATTGTAACACTAATAAACATAAAAAATAAATTTTCCGTAAAACTAAATTAAAAACAACTTTAAAACAGTAAAATGTAGATAGTAATATTTGCATACCTTGTATAATAATTTCTATACATTTTTAGACGTACCAGCTGTTTAATAATCTTACCCAGTTAACTTAAGGTTAAAGGGACTGTTAAATATAATCCACTAACTCAATCTATGAGGGTACTCACAGCAAGCATTAACCCAAAATGATAAATCATTCATAGACTATATTACATGTTCCAGCCTCTAAATTATTAACTAAAATATATGTAGTTCTGATATCTTTATTATGGTCCTGAAAAAAACAAAAACTCTTTGTTTAAACTCTAGGAATCTTAAATAGTGGGCAATATGAATTGCCAGTCATAATGAAGTCCCTTTAACATTTGCAACCTTCTAAGAGGATTTGGGAACAAGCCCATATTAAAACTGAACTTAAAGTTGTGTGCATGCTTTTATGAGCAGAGAGCAATCTGCTAAAACTGGATACTCAATTTGATGATAATGGTACTGTTATTAAGGATTGCTGTTTGATGGAAATGTGCCATAATTTCTCCATCGGTTTGTGTATCATTCCTGAAGCCGCTTTTTACATCTGAAGCTATTTTTTTTTTTCATTTTGTTTTGTTTTGATAGACTTGCTGAAAGCCAATCAGAAAAATATTTTTGGAATTTTTTTGTCTCTGACATGCTCAGTGTAAACCATGAATTTCTTTTCAGTGTGATTGCCGGAAAAATAGAATAATTCAAATAACAATGAATAATTGCCTTCAAAAAATAAACAGCACTAAAGAATAACATATAGATATATGTGGACATTATGTGAATTATGAAATTTTTACCATAAAATTTAAATTAGATTTCAGCTGCTATGTATTAGTTTCTGTCAGTGGTAATTTCAGAATGACAAATACTTGAAATGTTGTCTTACATTTTTAAAATTTAACAATTTAGACTTTAGACACCAACAATATAAGATCTTGATGTAAAAGGGAAAAGGGATCCACTAAAAACTGATTTGTAATACATATCTTTGATTGGTCTTTTAGCAAAAGCACTACATTTATAATAAGTTGAGAATTTACAAGTATTTGCCAATAATTATGCATTTCATGGACACCTCATTTATAAGCAATGAATTATGAGTCAAATGCCTCTCTTATAGTTTATTGCTCTCATTATTCACCCCATAAAAGATCTGTTTTATCATCCATTGTAGATATAGAGTTCACAATCAACATTTTTGCATGTATGTAATATTATTTTTACAGGGCGTCAGCTCACAATCTTCAATAGCCAAGCAACCATAATAATTGGCGGGAAAGAGCAGGGCCAGCCCTTCCAGGGCCAGCTCTCTGGGCTGTACTACAATGGCTTGAAAGTTCTGAATATGGCAGCCGAAAACGATGCCAACATCGCCATAGTGGGAAATGTGAGACTGGTTGGTGAAGTGCCTTCCTCTATGACAACTGAGTCAACAGCCACTGCCATGCAATCAGAGATGTCCACATCAATTATGGAGACTACCACGACCCTGGCTACTAGCACAGCCAGAAGAGGAAAGCCCCCGACAAAAGAACCCATTAGCCAGGTGAGCCTGTGGATTTTATTCCTTCATTTTCATCCTATATTATTTATGATAGTGGGCTTTTCTGCATATGCGTCTTTTCTAAATTGGAACATTTTTCTGATCTTAGGCACTACAGCTTCCTTTGAAACTAGCTTAACATAATGCATTCCGTTTGAATATGAAATGTGTGTATGTTGTTCATTAGAGGTTTGTGGACTTTTACAAAAGATTTTGTTTTGGTTTGTTAGATGCTAAATGATAGTCTTGATTCCATAACCCTCCTCTGGCCCAAGCTGAGTAGATCGTCTGCTAATTACATAGGATTTTCACTTTTTAGTTTAAATGAACAAGTTAATGAAATATTTGAAAACCTTGTCTGTTTAAGCTCAGCACTTCAAAATAAAATCAAGGCAAATTTAATCTTAAAAGAGATATTTTAATAGTACAATACTTCTATAGTATTTTGAAGTTTAAAGTTTTGAATTGATAGCCAGCCATGTGGCTTTCTTGGTGAATGATGGGTATACTCTTTCACTATTTATTTAAAAATAAAAAAACATTCTATTGGTTTATCTGAGCACACAAACCCAAAATATGAGGTATTTTGTGTATGTGATTAATTGCCCTCACCTACAATTAACTCTAATTAGCTTATTTCAATCTTGTGCCTAAAATTTTTGAAGAATATGATTTTTAAATGTGGCATTTGCACAACTTGGAAGTATGTTAATTCAATCAGGACATAATTATTGATTGCCTACTACATTTCAGGCACTGGTTTGAATATTGGTGTTCCATCAGTGAAGAACACAGGGAAAAAAAAACCTTATTCGAAATGCTGTTAGATGCTGTTCAAATGCCATTAGATTCCTGTTGGTATTTGCAGCCTTTGTATGTATCCAGTTGTTAATTTTTTCAGAATTGTGTATTATCCTTGGTCCAAAATTAATTGTTTCGTTTTGTTCTGTTTTACTGATAGTGAGTATATTCAGTAGGTGCCATTTAAAGCTTTTCCAAATACACGATCCCTACTTTTCCAGAAAAATGCATTCTGAAGAAGCAAGAATGATAATTATATTTAAATTTGCTTTTACTTCTTGCATTTGAAACAGACCTGCATCCAGTTTGGAAGGAAAATAATAGAAGGCAAATTCTGTTTGTATCAGCACCCCAAATATGAATTAACATGTTTCCCAGAAAATGAAGAAAATTGACTCTGATTTTTACTTTGAATGGAAAAGGGTGAGAGGAACAGAATAGATGAAGAGAAAATGTCCTAGAAGAGGGATGGGCAAAAAATACAAAAAATGCAAATTAAATGTAGTGTTGGATATATTGTACCTACATGTGCACTTATTTTCATTTTTCTCTCTTTTCTTTTCGTTTCCTATTTGCATGTGGCTACAAAATAAAATGGGATGTCTTATAGGGTGTTCACAAATATATATTTATTGATCACTGTCTACATGTGCCAGATACTTTTCTAGGCATGAGGATATATTGGTAACAGCAAACGAAACCCCTGCCCTCAAAGAATATACATTTTAGTAGGACTGTTTGCCTGCAATGTGATCCTTTTGTTGATTTTCTCTCGTTAGGATTTATAAGGTTGCCAATAACATCATAGCACTTAGTTCCTTGGATAAAGACTTGTGACTTTAGAAAGATTTATGTTTGCCCAATAGCTCCATTTAACATTCTTTGCTAATGTTTCATTAATGATTTGTTACTGCTGTAGATTTATGGTTCACTTACTGATAAGCAAGTTATTACAGTAAATCTGATACAGGAAAAATGAAACAAATAAATTGATAGACTTTCCTTTATCTAAAATAATTCACAAGAGGACATTCAGAGTTAGGAATGCTTTTATGAATATAATTTGAAATAATCAGGTATTTTTCTTAGTAGTCTTGTTTTATCATTAATGAGATTACAGTTGCCAAATCTCCTATATAAACCAGGTGTGTCCCAAAAGAAGAAAATATTATCAGCATTGGTTTTATGTATTTTGTCAATTAGTAACATATATTAAGAAATATTATTTTTAAGTACAAAACAGCTGTTTCATTTGAAAGCTAAATACGTAGAAATGCAGAAATAAAGATTTATGCATTTTATAATATTAAAATGCAGAAGGTAAAGAGTTAACTGCTCCTTAATTGCCAATGAAAAGAGCCTCTTTTATTATAAGCTATTACATGTTTGAAGACAGCAGCAGTTTATAGATGTAAATGATCTAATTAATTAGTGAATACTTGGTTCATTTGAGGAGATATTGACTTAAATAAAAGATTATTAGGTTCATTTAAAAATAGATATTTAAAATTGTTAGCTTTGTAATAAACCAGTGACAGTAATTAAAGAATTTGACTTAATATGTTACAAGTATTCAGTAGTAGCAACAGTATTTTAAAGTTGGGCTAATAGGTTTTAAAAGTCTCTTAAGTAGTGAGATATATATATGAATACAGATAACAACACATGTATGTATGGGGAAAAAACATTAGGGAAGAAAGCAATTTATTTATATTTGAGTGACAGAATAATTTGTTGAAAATTTTCCATAATTCGTAATTGACTTTTCAATTGTCCTCTAAATACAGTAATATTTAAACCAGGAAGTTTAAATATGAGATAAATTTCTAATGTTAATTTCGAAACTGTAAACTTTGACCTATTTTTACAGGTTGGATGAAGCATCTTCCTTTAAATGTTGTCTATAGTGGCCATATCCGCCTGCTTTTATCAACTGTCTTACTAAATTGTGTATCAGAAAGGGTCATTTCATTTTTCAAAAGCCACACTGGACTGTTTTCTCAATCAAAGTGCATTTTTCTCAGTGATAACACTGAGCCACTTAAGCTACAATGGCAATGTACCTTGGGGTGATTGCATGTTTTAAAACTATGGAAACAGATTTTTGGTCAGGCAGAATTAAATTGGACTCATTTCAAATAGATGAGATGAGGTTTGTTCAGCCATCCTGCAGGGATAGTAATAGGGAAGAAATGTATTTCAGTTTTCACAGACTCAGAGAATATAGTAGTGTTCATCAAAATATCCTCCATAAAGTCCTGTTTATATTCCTACTTAAAGTAAATATCCTTTTAAAAGTAAAAAAAAAAAAAAGAAGTTTTGCTTTGAATGATAATCAATTTTCAGCCCAATGTTTACTTTAGGAAGATGTGATTTATATCAAGAAATAATAGGGACATTTACCAAAACTTCTGATCGAATTGTTCCTTTTTAATGTGAATATAACAATATTGATAGTACTTTTTATGTGGATTACATAAAATTTATAAAATTTATAAAATTCATTTTACTTGGAATATTTAATTTTTAAATGTTTCCATAAGGCCTCCTGATTTTATGAAACTTTCCAGAAGGCTAATCTCAGAAAGCAAATATTCACAAAAACTATTGGTGGTATAAAGTTCTTTGAGATTCTGAGAGCTTCTTGGCATGTGGCAGGAGTATCATGCAAGTTTTTTGGCTGCTAAATGTTCCCCCTCTTCTAATTAAACTTGCAATGTCTTATGAGATGAGTACATGTAAGCCAACATGAAGAGGACAACACTTCCTTCCTTTGCCTGTCCACAAAGAAAGGAAAATTGAACTGTGCTGTTTCTTTTACGATCAAGCTTGTGACATCGTTTCTGGAATGTTCTTTATAGCACATTTTACGATCTTTTTGTTCTTTCCTTCGAGAATATTTTACAAGCTACATACATACTATAGAGAATACATACATACTGTAGAGAGATTGTAGTATAATGGAAAGAGCATGATGAATGAGGAGACCTGGTTTCCACTTTCAACACAACCACCTATCTCGTCATGTGACTTGGACAACTTGGGTCACATCATTGTACTTTGGCCTTGCTGCCTCTGTAAAATAAGTAGGTTGAACTAGGAAACTCTTAAGTTGTACTCAGCTCTAAGATTTCTTTGATTCTAGTGATGATGCTCTTAATTAGGTCTTCTCATGATTATTTACCAAAACATAGATTTCACCTCTGTCTTCCATCATGTGGCCATGCAGCCCAGTTGGCCTGGATAGTACCTGTGCATACCTGATGTTCAGTGTAATTATTAATAGTATATTTTTGACTCTCAAAAGTATGCCATTTGGTCTATAAATTATATTATACTCTACTTTTACAGCATATCCAAAATTTACCTTTGCAAGAAAAGCATACTTCATAAGAATAATACATATTATGTCCTGTTCTTTATATTCAGAGCAAAATTTGTCTGTGGTATCCTTGCCTGGTTTTTAGAATCCATAACCTTTTTTATTTTCTTTTTATCTTATTTCAACAATGTTGAGAAAAGAGAGAGAATAAAATTTTGAGAGATTCTGGTTTTTGACTATAGTTTGCAACTCTTGGGAAGAAATTAAATTATAAAGTGAGACAGAATCAGTAAATATGAGTGAAATGTATTGGAGCAGTTCCATGGTTTCAGTTAGGCATTTTTTCAGGGTAGAGTTAGCAAACCTACTCAAGGAAAGGAACTATTGAGAGTTCAAGAAATATCATTGGTAGATTGTAAGAGACATTCATTTCACATATGAGACATCCTATTAAAGTCAGTAGCATTTGATTCCCAGTTGGGTTTTCTGAAAAAGAACCCAATTAATGTTTATGCAAGAAAAGAATGTTTGAATATATTGGACACTTCTGTTGCTTGCTTGGAGGCTTTGGAGGTACTCATGAAAAATGAATATTATTTGTTTGAAAAATGTAAGCAGAATTCACACACATTTCCTTGAAAAATATTTAGAGCTAACAAAATACATTTTGCAACTTCAAAGAACAAAATTTTATTTTTATTAAAAATATTAATTAACCTTAGCTGTAACTTTGCTATTAAAAAATAATAGCATTACTTATAATTATATATGTTCCTGATAACCACTGTGCATTTAAAAAATACTGGTGACATGAATAATTAATTTATTTTCCCTAGTCCAATCAATCTTCTGAATTCACTTAAATTAATGTACATTTTTACAGCAAATTTTAGTGCATATTTCAAAGAAAAACACTTTGATGTGTATTTTAAAATATATACAAAGGCATGTTCTCCTGAACTTAATGGTGCCTGGTGAGAAGAGTGTAATGTATTGTAATTTTAAATGCGTGTAAGCAACAGTTATTCAGACTTTGTTTTTCTCCTCTCATTACTGGCAAGAAAAAGTACTAGAGTAATGCATTTTAAAGGATTTTTTTTAAGTTCTGCGTGGTGCATTTTCTTTGGGGTCTGGAGGTTTTACTAGATGACAAAATGCTCTATTGGTAGATGCAAGCTTGGTTTTGAGATGTCTTCTCACAAAGCTAGTCCGAGATAAATATATTCATATACCCATTCATTCATTCACTTAACCAAGTTTGATGAGCACTTGCTATATCTCAGGTACCTTTCTACTACCTTTCTAGTCTGTAGAAATACAGCATTGATCAAAATTAGACTTTTCTGCACCGAACTTATGTTCTAGTTGGAGAAGATGGGCAATAGACAAGAAAACGAATAGTGTGGGATGTCAAAGGCTGCAGGAAAAAAGAAAAAAAAACAGAGGAAGGAAGAGGGGGATGCCTGTGTGTGGAAGGGAACCATGAAATGGAAATCTCTTTTGAATGGATGTGCGTAAAGTATTCGAGATGTAGGTATCAATTTCATAAAACTTTGGTATATTAATCTTCAGGCATTTCTTCAGACCCAGAAGGACTGCACCCTGTATGGATAGTGCCACTGGCAGCATTAGCTTTCTTAGGAAACTGGAAGCCAGAGAAAAGATCAAAAGCAACACCAAGATATACTTTACCTGCTCCTAACCTCTAGAAGGACCTGGCCTCTGTGGTCCTCTGGCTTCTAATAAATATTTTGCTAATTAAATCAGAAGTGTAATCATATCCTGCAGAACATATATATATGTGTGTTCCTCAGACATATATATATATGTCTGAGGAAGAGATGGAAACTCAAAAAGTACAACTTGATATTATTATTCCTCCTCAAAAAGGAGGAAATTGAGGCATAGAAAAGCTAACTTACCCAAGGCTATGCTGCCCACTTTTTTTCAGGATACATTGAGGTGATCTATATTCTGCTCTTACGTATTGCCTTTATTCAGAATCTCATCACCTCCTGCTTTCTCATAGTCTTAACCACCTCCATTGTGATCTCCACCCAACTGTCAGACTATCCTTTTGAAAATGCAAATACAGTCATATTGTTCCCTTCCTTAATGCATCCATATACATTCTATGTGATAGACTGAAAAGTTTAGCCCTCAGAAATGGGAACCATTTGTCGAAGGTCACACAGTAAGTGTTTGAGTCATGAGTGAAGTTGAGTTTTGTATCATGTATTACTCCTTCTAATAGTATCTATTTAGGCATTGCCTATAAATATGGTTCCATGCTGGACACCTAACATGATCAGATGATGAGGCCCTGCGTTCTGGGAGTCTAAGGTCTGAAAGCTTGTGTGGGATGTTGGGGCACTATGCATAGTGGTCAAGGGCGTTGACTCCAGAAGCCAAAATGCCCACCTATATCCCAGCATTGTGTTTACCACGTACTAGCTGTGAGTTACTTAGACCTCAGTTTCCTACCTCATAAGTTTATTGTGAGGATTATAGGAGTCAAGAGTATAGGAACCATATGAAATGATGGCCACTTCACCAGTTTTTAACTATAAAAAATAGAAATTTCATATGTTCATCTTAAAATATAAAGAAATGTTCAAAGTACCTGTCACAGGTGAGCACCATACATCTGAAAGTCATGTCTGAGAAGCATTCTTCAGGTACACACTGTAAATTAAAGCATCTTTCTTACCTTTAAAGCTATTTTCTCTGCCCTTGAAGAGTAGCTGTGAATTTATGTTTCTTCAGCAGCACATCAATTGTGTGGCATGTACCAAGCTGAATTCTCTGTTGAATGAGGCAGCACCATTCCCCTAAGGGATGTATGTATGGGAAGCAAGCGGCAGTGGAGGGCAGGTAATAACACAAAGAGAGAGTTATCGTGAGGTCCATGAGGACTACACACACTGCAATGCTGGGACAGTCCTGGACAACGAAGAGCTGTCCAAGGATTCCCATAACTTGCGCTGTTTTATGCAACCTCCCCTACTTCCTCACCAACTTCAAATTATTGTTGACTGAGCACTCAGGAAGTTTCTTGTGTCTGTTCCCCAGTTGTCACACACAGAAGGTAATTCATGGTGTGATACTGAATCTTGCAAATATGATTTCTGTATCTATCCTGGATAACATATTTTGATTAAGGAGCTTAAGAATTCATTATATACTAATTTTTCAACTTGAGAATGAAAAACTTCAAGTACTTCCAGCTGTGAGTTAGACTAGATTGGGCTCATGATTCTCGATATCTCTTTTGATATATTCTGTATCAGCATTGGAGATATTGAATGAAGTCTGTGTACCTAGTCGATACATGACAGTGATTTCAGTGGGAATTTTCTCAGGACTGGTGAAGTTGGCACTTCCTCTAAAATGTCTAGTCTCAGTGGTAGGACAAAGTAATATCTTTTTATTAAATAATTAGTTCTTGTCTAAGTAGCAAGAATATAACCTAGTTTAATTGTCTTAGTTTTTATCAGCTCTACAAATTGTTCTGTAATACTTTGTGAACTTCTGATTTTCAATACATACCTATGTTTGTGTTACACCTGTTGATTTATTCATCTCTTACATATAATAATCATTGTCTGTGAGGGGAAGGAGGAAGGAAAAGTACAAAAATTAGCCGGGCATGGTGGCACGCGCCTGTAGTCCCAGCTACTTGGGAGGCTGAGGCAGAAGGATTGCTTAACCTGGGCGGAGGCGGAGGTTGCAGTGAGCCAAGATCATGCCACTGCACTCCAGCTTGGGCAACAGAGTGACACTCTGTCTCAAAACAAAAAAGATAATTTTGTGTATACAAGTGTATGTGTGTGTTAACCATACTTGCTATTCTCCTTCATGATATATGTAAACATTAAGCTTGTTCAAAAAACTAAGTCAATATTAGTTTTAAATCTCTATGTTAATTTCTTACATGTTTTATCATCTAGAGCCTATGTTAGTTTTGTTGTTGTTGTTGTTGTTGTTGTTGTTGGTATCACTGAAAAGTTCTCCAGCAATAAAAAATACATTAACACCATTAGGCTGGGACCTCAGGAGAAGGCTCAGGTAATTTCTCTGCCTTTATTCAGCATTTACCAAACAGCTTTCACTGTATTCTTGTTATCACTATTCTCTTTATATGAAATCTCAAGCAGACAAATAGCACTTGTGTTAACCAATGGTTTATCCAGTAAGCATTCCAAATGGTAATTAACAAAACAAAACAAAATAGGCAGTGTATGTACGTGTGTATTTTTTTTACCATGCTATATGTTGCCTGTAAATCCACAAAATTTTCATTTAGAATTACAAATTTGCAAAATCTTATGTGCAACTAATATATGTAGCACACTTTGCTAGGTATTATTATGCTATTCTTGAGGATAAATACCTAGCAATTCAGGATTTTTTTGAAGAACCATTTCTCACACCTTAGATTACTAGTGAATCTATACATAAATTATAAAGTGCCCTACATCAACAATAGCAAAGCTTTTGTACATGACAGATTTAGAGTATATTATTAACAGCATCACTAACACAGTTGAATCTCAGAGACAAATTTAAAGGAGAAAAGATATTTTAGACTCTTTTTAATAACAAGCATATTGGGGAAACATGCTTCTTAAGTGTTTCACGTCTTAAGTGTTGGCAATGTGCTAGACACTACCCTCACTCTGGAATTATCCACATTCTCTTGCTGATGTCTTTAAAATCTAAGTTGCATTTGCGGAAAGCTTCTTCTAAAATAGACATTACCATCAAGTCTGTAGATTTAATAGAGTAGTTGGTAGCCTCGGCCCCCTTAGCTCCCTTCTAGGACTTTTCTACTTCAGCAGGACATACAGAGTACCCTAGAGGCATATGGGGGAAGCTACATTTTTTTATCTTCATCTTTACATGGAATAAATTATATGCTATTGAGAAAACTCCAAGACTGTTATAATTGTGAACCTCAATGTTTAACTGCGACATGGAGTAAAGTATGAAGCAATAACAATGAGAACTTTAAAATCATGTTTGTTTTGCCACATTCTTTGAGAGTATCAAATAAACTTGCACAAATAAAGCTCATGGCATAGCATCTGGCACATAGCAGGTGCTCATTTGTTCTTCCTTAGTATCCTCATCCCCACTGTGCTATTGCCTTTTTTCTTCTCTTCTTTCTCCCTTTTTTTTCATTCTTCCTTCCATATGCTAGGCCTTATTCTAGACACTACAGATTCACACATGATGACCCAAATCTCAAATAAGAGAAATGATTCTCCATTTGGCCCACATTACTCCAGGACCAAGTAACAAATATATTCAACTATAGATTCCCCAAAATATTGGAGAATGAACCAAGTGAGGAGTCTCTATGTGTTGTGCCATGCTATGCTAGCTGTTATAAGATCTTCCTTAAACATAGACCAGCATTTAAAATTCAGCAGTAAAAATTTGGCCCTGGAACACACTTGAGAAAAACTGATTTTTATATTTTCTACACCTCCAAGCTTACCTTTGCATCAGCTGTCCCTGAGTATGTTTTGAAAGAGTGAGTCCACAGCTAGAAAATGATGTAGGTACTTGTGTTCATGGATCCAAAGGGAATATAAGTTTCTTCCAAAAGAAATTGTCCTTGAAGGGAAGTTCTCTGGTTCTAATCTCTATTTTTTCAGAAATGAAAAGGACCCATTAATATCCTTTCAAATTCTGTGGTGACATTACCAAGTCTGACTTTTCCGTGCACAGCATTAACTAGCAGTTGGTAATGTTTCTTGACAGGGTCTACATGGCAATCTAATACAAGATAGAAGATAAGACACTGCAGGAAAGTTAAGTGCCCAACTTGTTCTGTTCTGAACTGAGGGCTTTCCACTGTCCAAAGAGAGAATTTTCACTGTAGTTTCAGACATTTTTGTGACTGGAGTTTTCCATTTTTATTTAATGGCTCAATTATCTTATGTAACTTTGTCAATTATCTTATATAACTTTGCATTCTACATTGTTTGGGAATTTGATTCAGAAAAGTAAAAAAACACATGTATAAAGAATCTAGTCTGAAATTTGTATTTGGTATGCTATTAGTAAACTGTTCACATTGCCTAAACTCAAAATGCAACTTCCCACTTTCTGATATACTGACTCATCTGCCAGCAGTGTTCCTATTTCCTCCTTTTCTTGTTTTGCGACTGTACCTGTGATCTAGTTAATGATACACTTCTCCATTTGAAAAATACTAAAGCTTTGTTAGTGTTAATGGCACAGGAAGATTTTAGACTTTGCATTTCACTTTATGATTTCCTGAACAACCCCAAGCAGAACCTGTTTCCTGTTTTCATAGCACTTTGGAAAAGATAGATGAATAGAGATTCATTTAAATAGATAGATAGATAATGATCTACCTGTTAGAGATTATAACCTTAAGTTTTTTTTTTGACAAGCATCTTAAAGTCAAGACCTTTGTCTTAATGTGTGTATGCTCAGCACCTAATGCAGTGTTTGATACAAAAAGGACACTTAGTAAGTGGTTTTTGAATAAATAATGAACACAGAATGCATAAAATGATGCTAAGATAAATGTTGTGTATTGCTCAGTCCTTGTATTAGTCCATTCCCACGCTGCTATAAGGACAGGCCCAAGACTGGATAATTTATAAGGAAAGAGGTTTAATTGGCTCACAGTTCTGCAGGGCTGGGGAGGCCTCAGGAAACTTACAATCATGGCAGAAGAGGAAGCAAACACATGCTTCTTCACATGGTGGCAGAAAGGAGAATAATGAGAGAAGGGGGAAGCCCCTTATCTCATGAGAACTTACCATCATGAGAATAGCATGGGGGAAACCACCTCCCTGATTCAGTTACCTCCCACTGGGTCCCTCCCGTGGCACATGGGGATTATGGGAACTACAATTCAAGATGAGATTTGGGTGGGGACACAGCCAAACCGTATCAGTCCTGAATTTTCCTAGATTAATCAATATTTGCAGAGAATAAAGATGGTATATATAACAAGATGTTAAAAGAATTAACTTCCTTCTTATGCAGTATAAAGACATTTTGAAATTACAGTTGTTTGGTTTTTTAAAAAGCATGTGCATATTTATTTAAGAAAAAGGGGTGGATGCGATATGCAGGAAGCAAAATTCCCATTTCAATTTATGCTACTGACATTCTTCTCATAAGACTAGGAAGGAGGCACCAGTAGTTGTCCCTAAAAGGAAAAGAGACGGGCCCAAAGTGGCATAATTTTGCCTACCAGGTTACAGATTAACATGTGTAAAACCCTGTTCCAGAGGTTTACTAGAGTCTCATCATTTTGGGTTATAGTGCCGTACCAAGGTGGAGGAGGGGCATTGTTAATGGTCCCCTCTCAAGAGGAATATTTTATCACTGACATTGTTTAGACTTGTTGACACACTCTAATAATAAAAAGCAGTCTGACTTTCAGTCACCTTTGTTATTGTTTTTAAATTCTCTACAGGAAATCATCTCTTATTGTCTTCATAGGAGTTTACCTTTTCCTTGCTGTCTGTGGTGAGCCACAGACAAATAGCTAAAACTTACTTCACAATTTTGCAAGTAGCTTGCCCATTTCAAAGAGTCGAGAATTCACATTTTCAGTTTGTCTGATTTTTTGATGTCTTCAGCCAGTTAGGGGGAGTGGAAGAAACAGGCGAAAATCTCTAGGAAGCCTAATGATTACAGAACCAGTTTGCACCAGTGACTCTTGACAGGGCTACAAGACAAGCTGTGCATAAGGTTGATATTTAGACATCTAGAAAACCAGATCGAAATAGGGAAAATGTATAACATTTTTAAAAGACACTCATTGCAGAGTTTAAGCATGTAAAAACTATGATTTTTTTATAGGCAAATAAAAATGGGAATGAAGTACAAAGAACTAGAGAAGCAAAAGAAGAGATTAGAGGGACATGTTGGGATAACACTAATTGGATGCAAAGACTTAAATGAAGTTTGGGTAGTGGAATGAATTCCTCACAACAGACAGATCTTGATAAAGCCTAGGAAATGTCAAAGGAATTTATTCTTGCTATGTGGCTTATTTGAAAATAAAATATATTAATATTGGCTGTGGGTTTGTCATAGATAGCTGTTATTATTTTGAGATACGTCCTATCAATACAGGAGGGAGGAGGGATAGCATTAGGAGATATACCTAATGTAAATGACGAGTTAATGGGTGCAGCACACCAACATGGCACATGTTTACATATGTAACAAACCTGCACATTGTGCACATGTACCCTAAAACTTAAAGTGTAATTTAAAAAAAGCAAAAGGAAATAGAAAAAAAAAGAAAATACAATATATTTAAATGGATGATAACTCAAATTGCAAATACCAGTTATACCTTCCTTTTTAAAACTATTCCTGAAACTAGTAACAGATTACTCCCAGAATTCACTTTTTTGCTTTGTTGTACATATGTAAGTGGGAATAATTGATACATTGTTTTCATTAATATAAAGCAAGCACATAAAAACAAATCAATATAGTTTAGAAGATGGTATATAAAAAAGCAACGATACCACATTTATCCCCTCATCACTCCCAGTCTTATTCCCCAGAGTAAATGTCTTTTAATAATTCTTTTTGGTAATTAGCTCCATATCTCCAAATAATATGCTTATGTTCCATTTGTTTATTTATTCCTTTTATACAATACTTATACAATCCTGGATATGAAAATTGAGGATTAGCTCAGGCTTTAATCCTTTCTTTTGCTTTTTTCTCTCCTGTGAATTATGTCTGTATGTGTATAAAATATTATATATATAATACTTGATATATATTAGATAAAACTATATGTAAATTATATATAAATTTTGTTGCTTTAAGTAATATAGTTGCATCTAATTTCTTGTTCCATTAATTTACAAGAATATCTCTTATCTCTTAAGTATCCACATTAGTAAGCTAAAGATATTTTTTATGCTCCTCCCCATTCCTCTAGCTTCCCTCTTCTTTTCCTCATCTCATGATCTCATTTTATTTCCAGGGATGTTAACTTTAACATTCTGTCTGACAACCAACCACAACTAAATCTCCCATATTTTATTTGGATTATGAGGATTCTAAAGTGGAAAACAATGAAGACCATTTAGATTACCATTACTGTGTAAATATTATCCAATACTAATCTCAGTTATATGTTAAGATTACCTTTCTTTTTTTATGAGTTAAATATCATATTACCTGGACTACTCAAAGGAGAATTTTTCCACCTCTAGGATCAAGGTCAAGTGGATTCCCTTGCACTTATCAGTTGCTCAGAAATCAGGACATTTTATTTTGCGTTATATTTGAATCATATTTGTTTTCTATAGTTTTGTTTTTCCATGAGCTACTCAACATACTTATTTTTTCTTGTATTGAATCTCTTGCCTTTATTATATCATCATTTTAAATTCCCAGTCACAGTTTTAATTCTATCAAACCTTATCTCTTTCCCTCAACAACCTACCTCCAAAGGGATCTCGATGTGTATCTTCTGTTCTTTAGCACCAGTCTGGACTGCTTGTCAGGTTGAGAATAAACAGAGTATGGAGAGCTACAGGCTTTTCTTTGGAAGTAGCAGGCATATAGCAGACAAACTAATGCCCAAATAGAGAACATCCACAGAAAGAGCCTTACCTCTCTTTGCACAGTTTCTTTGCTTATTTATTTAGTTACTTATGAGACCAAGTCTCACTCTGTTGTCCAAGCTGCAGTGCAGTGGCATGATCTCGGCTCACTGCAACCTCTGCCTCCCAGGTTCAAGCGATTATCCTGCTTCAGCCTCCTGAGTAGCTGGGACCATAGGCGTGCACCACCATGCCCAGCTGATTTTTGTATTTTTAGTAGAGACAGGATTTCACCATGTTGACCAGGCTGGTCTTGAACTCCTGACCTCAGGTGATCTACCCTCCTCAGCCTCCCAAAGTGCTGGGAAGTTTCTTTGTTTTTGTTTGTCTGTTTGTTTGTTTGAGATGGAGTCTTGCTTTGTTGCTCAGGCTGGAGTACAGTGGGGCAATCTCAGCTCACCGCCACCTCTGCCTCCTGGGTTCAAGCAATTCTCCTGCCTCAGGCTCCTGAGTGGCTGGGACTACAGGCACCCGCCACCACACTGGCTAATTTTTGTATTTTTAGTAGAGACGAGGTTTCACCACACTGGCCAGGCTGGTCTCCAATTCCTGACCTTGTGATTCACCCACCTCTGCCTCCAAAAGTGCTGGGATTACAGGCATGATCCACCGCTCCCAGCCTTTCTTTGCTTTTAAAAGAAAGACTGTCTAGATTTTAGTTTGTTTGTTGGTTTTGCTTTTTTGGCAAAAAGAAAGAAAGGGAGGAGGGAGGGAGGGAGGGAGGGTGGGAAGGAAGGAAGGAAGGAAAGGAGGGAGGGAGGGAGGGAGGAAGAGAGGGAGGGAAGGACGGAGAAAACTATTCTTTTCTATATTTTAGGTGGTTATTTAGCTATCTGTTCCTGTATAACAAATTATCCCCAAATTAGGCAGCTATGAATAAGAAACATGTTATTTCAGTTTTTATGGGTCAGGAATCCCAGAAAAACTTAGCTGGGTGCCTGTGGCTCAGTATCTCTTGTGAGGCTGGAGTTAAACTGGTGATCATTCCTGCAGTCTCACTGGAAGGTTCAGCTGTGTGTGTAGGATGCCATTCACTTTCAAGCTCACTTACATGGTTGTTAGCATGCCTTATTATCTTACATGTGGGTGCAGGGATCCTCACAACAGCTGGCAATTTACTTTTCTTCCAGGACAGATGAGAGAGAGAGAGAGAAAGCCCAGGATAGGAGCCACAGGCTTTTTATAACCTAATCTTGGAAGTGACACTTCCTCCTGGCTGCTGTAAGTCTAGCCCACATGCAAGCGAAGGACATTACATAGGGGCAGGAATGCCAGATACTGAGAAACACTGATGACCTTCTTAGACGCCACCACAATGTCACAGAGTAGAGGGATGTCAACTGATGTGATTTTTTATGTATATTTTCTGCTAATCTCCTTCCAGACTATCTACAGATTCGCTCTCACTGTTTCTTTATCCTCAGGTATCTCTACATATCATATTCTAAGCTGTTCCTTTTTCTGCTTATTTCATTCATCGACCCTCTTTCTTTCTTGAAATGTAGAATGCCCACTACATTTCAAGTAATTTCTTTTCACATTCAAATGACAGATGAGAAGGCTTTTCTATGGCCGCAATTAATCTGGTTTTCAACTTTTAGCAGATTCTGAAATATGAAAAAAACAATGCATTGGAGTCAGTGTTTCTGAATTCTGATATTTCTAGTGTCTTCCCCACATTAGTTTAACCTGCTGAAGCAGTTTCTACTTGGTTGAGTATTTATGGTATTGCACTTACACAACCCTGAAAAATCTTTTAATCTTCCCAGTTTGACAAAGTTTAGTAATAATCGTTTGTACTCAAAGAGCAGTCACAGAAATTCTAAATGCTTCTGTGGTTGATAAGAGCTGAGTTCTTTTGCATTATTGCATTGTCATTCACTTCTGATGGTTGGAAGTATATGATGTGGTAAGCCAGCACAATAGCCTTCAGTCTTCCTAATATCGTATCTTTAATGAAATCTCAGGAGAAAATAGTCTTATATTTCTGACTTCATAACCCTCTATTTATCAATGAAGAAAACCCAGAATGAAAAACCAGGTATAATTTTATCTTGTTATCCTATTTCAATTTATTCCAGGGAGTAAGGAATAGAAATATTAGTGAGATATTAAAGTAGTGTTAGAAGGAGAGGAAGATTTTGGTTATTAGCCATATTCCAATATTCTGGATTTTTTACTTTGACTTCAAAAATTTTTTTTATAAATTTTGATTGTAATTAGAGCCAAATAACTGTTTGCTTTGCTAAAAAGAAGCCCAGAAACTGACTTAAAAAAAAGAACAAAGGAGATAAAAATTTTACACTCAAACCTAACCATATATAAAATGTTTTAGCCCTGTATAGTTATCATTACCTATTTCATCTATTAATTTAAAGTTAACCAAAATAAAGATATTCTGTTTAAGCTGGATTAAAATACATTTTGTCTTTAAAAAATGTTTCTCAGCTAACCTTTTGTGTCATTTAGTTTTTGATGTGTTCCAAGCTCCTCTAAAACTTAGTTGCTTAAAATGGCAGCCTTTTATTTAGCTCATAATTCTGTGGTTCTGCCATTTGGACTGGGCTTCAGTAGGTGGTTTTTCTGATCTGGGCTAGGTTTAGCTGATCTCAACTGGACTAGTTCATATGTTGGTGATCAGCTTGCCATGCTAGCTAGAGACTGGCTATCTAAGATGAATTAGTTAGAACAGCTTATGCCCCATCCTCCAAAAGGCCGGTTTAATCACAGAATCCCATGAGTGAAAATGGAATTTTGCAAAGCCTCTTGAGGCTCAGGTACAGAACTCACGTTACATTGCTTTTGCCACACCGATTAAGCAAGTCACATGGTCAGCCCAAATTCAAGGAGAGGAATTGCAAGAATTTTGGCCATGTTTGTAATTAATCACACCTTAAGAAATGAGGAAAAACCTGTATTATCATTTCTGCTCTAGCCTAGTAAATGATAAAATTTAATAGCTAAAAAGTTAAAAAGTCAAACAAACAGCTAAAAATCAAAGACAAATGTGTATACAGATTTGTCAAAAGCTGAACAAATTTGGGATAACAATTAGAAGCCTTGTAGTAGTCCATTTTCATAGTGCTATAAAGCACTGCTTGAGACAGGGTAATTTATAAAGGAAATAGGTTTAATTGACCCACAACTCAACATAGCTGGAGAGGCCTCAGGAAACTTACAATCATGGTGAAAGGCAAAGGGGAAGCAAGGCACCTTCTTCACAAGGCAGCAGGAAGGAGAATGAATGCAGGAGAAACTACCACACACATAAAACCATCATATCTTGTGAGAACTCACGCAATATCATGAGAACAAGATGGGGGAGACCTCCCCCATGATTCAGTTACCTCCGCCTGGTCTCTTCCTTGACACATGGGGATTATGAGGATTACCGGGATTATAATTTAAGATGAGATTTTGGGTAGGGACACAACCAAGCCATATCATACTGGCTATTTCTATTCTGCGCATTTTCCTCCGAAGGCAGTCTCCTAGGTAAAGGTTGTGCTATTCATTCCTTGTGGGTACATGTGATTTCAGGGCAGCTAATTTGTTTAGCTGACAGCAGGTGCTGTTTAAGTCTTATAGTTAGCTTTCTCTCCTTTCCTCCTTAGAAGTATTCATCGGTGAACTGTAATGGTCAGTGATCCCATTATTCAAAGATCACTTTACCATAAGGTACATAAATGTATTTTGAGACAGGACATAATTTGGAACCATGGAGGAGTTCCACAAGTTTCATTAATGTTCATGATATATATGTGCATATTTCTGTCTTGATTAAAAGGGCTTGTGATACCCACTGTGTCTGTGGGTCTGTTATGCATTAACACACATGCTCCTACATTGTCCTTAGTTTTATATTTTAGGCTATTTTTCTCCAAGTATATGTTTTGCAGTTGTCATACTAAGCTTTCTTATTCAAATCATAGCCAATAATATAGCAGAACTTAAGTGAAGGTCATTGTTTTTTCCTCTGAGGATAAGAATATTATCTGGATTGCAATATAGCTCCAGAATTTTGCTTTTTATTGTTCACATTCCTATAAAATCTGCTTAATTAAACAGCTGGCAGAAGTTAACAGCATGTTTTTGAGAGTTTTTTTGTTTGTTTTGCAATCTAAAAACATTTTAAGACACACACAGAAAATACTACCTTTTCAGTAAGTGGGTAGAGAAATGAGACTCTGTAAGGGAAGGAAAAATCTAGCTTGTAAGAATTAGAAAACATGATAGTTTAATTCAAGTAGTAGGAACTCCTAGATCATGAGAAATGCTGATACGAAAATGTAAATACCAGAGAAAATCTCACAAAGATAAAAAGATATGTTTTGAAATTATTCAAACTTTTTATTAGATGTCCCCATATCTAGCCTCTGTAACTTCAAATAATCAGGTTATATTCTTTTATTTCTTCCTGAGATGTGCAGTCAATGAATGTGCTCATTTTAGCATTATGTACCCTTCATTGTTGTGTGATGACACGGAAGAATGAAATATAAGAAAGGTATATGACTTTAACTCTACTTATGACACATAGAACCAAGCTGTTATATTCAATTTAAAATAATAAATTCAAGTTTTGAATTACATTCTAATATGGGCCAATCACCTCTGCTAAAATCTACTCATTTATGAAACTATATATAAATTATCCAAGTGGACCTTAGAATAACAGTATTCAGGTAAGTCAACATAGAAAATACATTTTTAGAAAGGAATGGAAATATGATAGAAATAGGGTACAGATCTATATGGGTTTGAGTCATATACAAAACCACATTCAAATATTGGCATTATTTCATTCCTTTACTAAGTATATATTTGTAAAACACCTACTATGAAAAAGGCACTATTCTTTCCCTTAACTTTTATTTTAAGTTCAGGGGTACATGTGCAGGTTTGTTATATAGGTAAACTTGTGTCATGGGGGTTGGTTATACAGACTATTTTGTCACCCAGGTATTAAGCCTAATACCCATTAGTTATTTTTCCTGATACTCTACCTCTTCCCAACCTCCACCCTCCACTAGGTCCCGGTGTCAGCTGTTTCCCTGTATGTGTCCATTTGTTCTCATTATTTAGCCCCCACTTATAAGTGAGAACATGTGATATTTGTTTTTCTGTTCCTGTGTTGGTTTGCTAAGGATAATGGCCTCCAGCTCCATCCATGTTCCTGCAGAGGACATGATCTCATTCTTTTTTATGGCTGCATAGTATTCCATGGTGTACATATACCACAATTTCTTTATCCAGTCTACCAATAATGGGCACTTAGGTTGATTCCATGTCTTTGCTATTGAGGATGGTGCTGCAATGAACATATGTGTGCATGTGTCTTTGTAATAGAATGATTTATATTCCTTTGGGTATATACTCAGTAATGGGATTGCTGGGTAAAATGGTAGTTATGTTTTTAGGTCTTTGAGGAATTGCCACACTTTTTTCCACAATGGTTGAACTAATTTACACTCCCCCCAACAGTGTATAAGCATTCTCTTCTGTTTGCAACCTCACCAGCACCTGCTGTTTGTTTTTTTTTTTTTTTTCCACTTTTTAATAATAGCCATTCTGGCTGGTGTGAGATGGTATCTCATTGTGGTTTTGATTTACATTTCTTTAACGATCAATGATGCTGAGCGTTTTAAAATATGCTTGTTGGCTGCATGTATGTCTGCTTTTGAAAATTGTCTGTTCATGTCCTTTTGCCCACTTTTTAATTGGGTTTGTGTGTGTGTGTGTAAATGTGTTTAAATTCCTTATAGATGGTGGACATTAGACCTTTGTCAGCTGCGTAGTTTGCAAAAATTTTCTCTCATTCTGTAGGTTGTCTGTATACTCTGTTGATAATTTCTTTTGCTGTGCAGAAGCTCTTTGGTTTAACTAGATCCTGTTTGTCAAATTTGGCATTTGTTGCAATTGCTTTTGGTGTCTTTATCATGAAATCTTTGCCTGTTCCTATGTCGAGAATGGTATTGCATAGGTTGTCTTCCAGGGTTTTTGTAGTTTGGGGTTTTACATTTAAGTTGTTAATCTGTCCTGAGTTAATTTTTGTATATGGTGTGAGGAAGGGGTCCAGTTCCAATCTTCTTCATATGGCTAGTCAGTTATCTCAGCACCATTTATTGAATAGGGAGTCCTTTCCTCTTTGCTTATTTTTGTTAGCTTTGTTAAAGATCAGATGGTTGTAGGTGTGCAGCCTTATTTCTGGGCTCTCTGTTCTGTTCTGTTGGTCCATGTGTCTGTTTTTGTACCAGTACCATGGTGCTTTGGTTATTGTAGCCCTGTAGTATTCTTTGAAATCAGGTAGCATGATGCCTCCAGCTTTGTTCTTTTTGCTTAGGACTGGGAAAGGCACTGTTTTAGACAGTGTAGAAACAGTGGTGAACACAATAGATTAAAATTCCTGCCCTCATGGTACTTAAATTTTAGTTAATAGAGACAAATATAACATATATAAGATTTTAATAAGATTATATATATATGTGTGTATACATACATGTATATATAACAAAATATATATATAATGTGTATACACAGTATATAAATATGGGGGCGTGTGTGTGTGTGTATGTGTGTATTATGTGTGTGTATAAAAGAAAACACTGCAGACTGAGTAGCTTAAACAACAGAAATTTATTATGCTACAGTTTGGGAGCCTGGAAAGTCCAATATTAAAGTGTCCATCCATTCAATTTTGGATGACAGCTCTCTTACCGGCTTGCAGACAGCCACCCTCTCTGAGTGGCCTTTCCTCTGTGTACAGGGAAAAAGAGCTCTGGTGTCTCTTTTTATTCTCATAAGGACACCAGTGTTATTGGATTAGGGCCCCACCTTTATAATTCCATTGAACTTTACCTCCTAAAGTTCCTCTCTTCAAATAAGTCACATTGGGGGTTAGGGTTTCAACCTATGAATTTTCCGGGAACACAGTTTAGTCCATAGAACACTGAACTTGAAACAGCTTTTAGCTCTCAAATTGCAATCTTGGTGTATATTACTAAATTCTGCAAATTCAACCTCAATGATCTAACCATATTTCCTTTGTGAAATTTCTGAAATTGAATTTCCTTTCCATTCCTTCCATCATGGCACTATTTTCTACTTTATGACAAAACAATTTCCCAACTAGTCTTCTTGTCTCCAATTAATCTTGAATACTGCCACTTAATTAATGCTAGCAGTATCACAATAGAGAAAGTTTCAGGTCAAATATCTCATTCTCCAGGAAAGCTGAGGAAAATATTAATTGTTCTAGTTTATGTAGGGAATGAACAGGAAAATATTTATTACGAGTGAATAAAGGTGCTTTTCCTGTCTTGTACATGTCACCAGACTTTCAGTATATTTAGAATCATATTCTTTCTAACAATAATGGCTGGCTAGTAACAGTAAAATAGCATATCTATCATTTTTATTATTCTCCAAAATACTTTTCTAATTGAATGGTAGATATTTTCTTTTTTATGAAAACACATATTGATATATTTTTAATACATTCCATCTGTTACAAAGAATGATATATTCACTCTTTTCAGAATTGGGTAGGGAGCAATCATGTCTTCCAATTTCTCAGAATTTATATATTGCTAGGAAAGGCCAGACACATTCATTAGGAACTAGTGAGACCAGGAGACATGCTCTCTAATAAGAACACCTCACCAGTGAATGGCGAATTAAGGGCTGAGAACTAGATTTATCTTCCAATACTTCTTACTAAAAGGGTTTAACTTCCAAACAACCCCAAAATGATACAGACATTGAGAGTCTTTTGAGACACATCTCTAGCACTTAACAGCACTTGGTCATTTTATATGATGCGTTTGGATGAGACAAATTGCATTTCTCTTCCTTATGCATTGATATTTTCTAAATACACAGTTAGTATATAGACAAGCTTCTGACTGGTGGAGAATTGGCAAAGTAATATTTGTTTACTTTTTTCAACTTCATCATGTTAAAAGATTTCTAAATTCCATATATTGTGAATGCCTAAATGACTGTACTTTACACTGGAAAAAGTAACTCATTGGCTAAGAGAATTGAATTTTATTCATTTGTACAGATAATTTCTGAAATTGTAATTAACCTGGATATGGATAAGAAAAATATCCCATAAGTAATAAGCAAGATAATTTAGATATATAGTCATTTGAGATATTTCTTTGGATTCTATTTGTAACTAATCATGCTTGATTAGAAGGATGTTACGTTTTTAAAAAAACACACCAAGATTAGCAGTGTAATAACATAATCTGAGTTTGAGCAAAAGATTCCTTCCAAGCATGCTGGCTTCTTTACATTGATTCATAAAATTGTATACTTTAGTCATAAAGATGAGTGTTGGCATCCCACTTTCTTAAGTCATTGGATATTAAATTTATATAACTTCACATTTGATTAGTGCAAAAGGTGTGCTTTACATGTTAGTATATATGCTGCATACTTAAGAGTTCTTTAGAAAACAGTCCCACTGTGGGTAGTGCTTTAAAATTATGAGCCAGGAACCCTTTTTTGTCCCCCTCTCTCCCCATTTGCAAAGATTTACCTATGTCTTCAGCTGCCTGAAAGTATATATACAAACTCTAGTGCCATAGGGAGCTTACAATGTTAGTGCAGGATTTTGAGCCTGAAAAAATACTTACTTTGTGCTGAGTAACTGTTGAAATAATATATATTAAAAAGATCTCAAGAAAACTCTTGAGTAAAGCATTGAGACATGCCATAACTAGTTACTGCTAACATGAAAATGCATGCAGCTTTTCATTTTAAGTTATACATTGCCAAACCAATATCTAAGCCATACCTTACAACATATTTCAAGTTGTATATTCTCTATGAATGTTTCCTGTCAAAGTAAAGAAAAATGTGCTAGACAAAGTTTCACAGGCAAGGAAGACTTTAATCAAGGCTATTGCAATAGGGGAGAGAAACTGAACTCAACTCTGAAGAAACAAAGTGTTGGACAGTTTTTAAGAGCAGATGTAGGAGAATCATAGGCCACCTGTGTTTGCCTGTTATCCTTACAGGAGGAGAAAGTAAACTTTCTCACATATGCATGACATAAAGTGTTTTATAGTTTCTAATTGTTCACTTATGATAGACTCCTATGTGTCCACAGAGACTGGGAGATGGGGGCACTATCTTTCTTGATAATTAGATCTGAAAAGTATGGCATGCAGGTCCTTGAGAGAGATACTCCCTAGATCATAGAACTGGCCAGAGGCTTTTAAGGAGGTTTAGATACATTTCAAAAGGGGCAGAGAAAGAATTTATAATTGCAAGTTTTCTAAAGTAAAGGCTCTAAGGAAAAGAAGGTCATGGGCCTATAGTCAGGAAGCAACCTGTCTAACCTTTAGTCAAGCTGAGATAAATATTAAGTCTATCTTGAATGTTCTTTGATTCTTCCAACCAAAGAGACCCTCTTTCTCCTCCAAAATTCTACAGTCCTTTTGTCTCTGCTACCCACTTGACACATAGTTACCCAGACATTTTAAATGCCTGCTTGCATTTGCATCTTTGAGCATTTTTGGCATGGAGCTGGGTATTTTATTTTATTTTATATTTTGGCATGGAGCTGGCATTTTATATTTTATTTTTCTCCTTTAAATGTCACAATAATATTTTGAGGTAGATAGATATTCTTATAAGGTTCATTCAAAAGACCTTTGGGCTTATTAAGGATAAGGCTAAGAAAGTCCCTCTAGTCAAATAGTTGACAAGTGGTGAAACCTATTCATATTAAATTCAGAGCCCAATGTGCCCTACTGCTGACTTAGTCTGCTTGGGCCACCACAGACTGGGCATTTAAAGAACAGAAATTTATTCTTACGGTTCCAGAGGCTAAGAAGTCCAAGATCAAGATGCCAGTAAAGTAGGTTTCATTTCGAGACCTCTTTGCTTGACTTGCAGGAAACCACTATCTTGCTGTGTGTCCACATGGCCTTTCCTTAGTTCCTGCGTGTAGGATGGAGAGCATGTGTGTGTGCATCCTCTTCCTCTTCTTATAAGGCCACCAGTCCTGTTGGATTAGGATCCCATGCTTAAGACCTCATCTAATCTTAACTACCTCCTAAAGATGCTATCTTCAAATACAAACTCACTGGGAGTTAGGGCTTTGATATATATGGATTTGGGCAGGGACCTAATTCAGTCCGTAGTGACTGCTTCACTGTGTTAGTCCAATAGGGCTGCTATAACAAAATGGTATAAACTGGGTGACTTCTAAACAACATACATTTATTTCTCACAATGCTGGAGGCTAGAAGTCCATGATCAAGGTGGCAGCTGATTCGGTATCTGGTGAGGGCCTGCTTCCTGCTTCACAGATAGCTGTCTTTTAGCTGTGTTGTCTCTCACATGGTGAAAAGGAAGAACTCTGGTTTGTTCAGCCTCTTATAAAGGCACTAATTCCATTCATGAAGCCTCCATCCTCAACACCTAATCACTGCTCAAAGACTTCACCTCCTAATAACATCAGATTGAGGATTAGGTTTCAACATATGAATTTGGGGAAAACACAAACATTCAGACCATCAAACTCACTAACAGCATTGCAAGCTCCATGAAGACAAATTTTGTATCTTGATTATGCTTGAACCCAGCACATTTCCTTGGTTATATAGTTTTATTGTTCACCTAATTACATGTTAAGATTCCAAGATTATTTTATCAATCCCATCTTACCTAATACAACCACTGTCAGAAAAGAAGCAACTAGGTTTCTGGGATAAACTAGCAATGTTTAGACATACAGTGAGAAAAAACAAATGTAAGATTAAGGACAGATATTTCTAGAGACTACCTAATGGCCTTTCATTATATTGTTATATTTGATGGCTCATTTGTTGCATACTGACTACCTGCCAGGCATGGCCTTAGCCTGAGCAATGTGCAGAAGATAAGGCCTAGGTGGTGTGCTGAGAGATTGCCTATCCAGATGATGTGTAGCAGCACCTAAGGAGTAAGACTCCCTTGTTTTAATGCTGATACTAACAACTTATATAATATTCAGTAGGACACACTATGCTGTTGATTTTCTCTCTATAGGGAGTGAGACTAGATATGGCTATTTACAAGACTGTTGAAGGTCAGTCAAATTGTGTTTGGAATCTTGAGTGTAAAAAAAGACATTATTATTTTAGAATCTGGGTCTTTTGTTTTAAAATGCCTTGATGTCTCCTTGTTAGATACCTAGGAAGAGTGGGTAAAAACCTGTCTTTAAAGAAGAAATGTGCACCCAATTCTCTATATTTATAGGATTATAAAAGCTCCCTCAGTATATCCACAAAAAGAATTTTAAAGAGCAACATTTTAATGTTTTACTTTGAACAACCTATCTTTGAACAACTGGTAAGTATTTTCTTACAGTTATGGCTAGGGCAGAAATAAGAGCATTGACAGTAAGAGAAGCAAAGTGACTTCTAAATATGCCAAAAGTTTTTTTTTTTTTAATTTTTTCTCCACAGCCTCTCTCACCTTTGCATTTAACCTGTGCTCTCAGTACTTATGCCCAAGACACATTGAAACATACAAAGGATCTAAACACAAAGATCTTGAAGACAGAATGTTAGCCCAGAGAAAACTAACACAACATAATAGGAATCGGGGCTTATTTACAACTGGAGCAAGGCCCTTAAGGTATAAGGAGGCTTCCCATAACTGTGCATGTGGGAAGATATTCTAGGTGGCAAGCACAGTTTGAGCAAAGGTGTTAGGATAGAAGTTTCCCCTGTTTAGGAGACAGAGACTACAATATGCAGGGCCCTGCAAAAACAGGGTAGGGCTCAGGCAGTTGCCATGGCTCCCATCTATATTCCCACTCTTTGAGAGGCCAAGGCGGGAGGATAACTTGAGCCCAGGAGTTCAAGGCCAAGCTGGGAAACCCTGTCTCTACAAAAAATATAAAAATTAGGAGGACATGGTGGCATGCACCTGTAGTCCCAGCTACTCAGGAGCTGAGTTGGGAGGATTGCTTGAGCCACGGAGGTCAAGTCTCCAGTGAGTCATGAGAGTGCCACTGCACTCCAGCCTTGGAGACAAAGTGAGACACTGTCTCAAAAAAGGAGAGAAGGAGCAAAGGAAAGAACGGAGGAAGGGAGAGAGGGAGGGAGGGAGGAAGGAAGGAAGGGAGGGAGGAAGGAAGGAAGGAAGCAACGAAGGAAGGAAGGGAACGAACAAAGGAAGGAAAGGGAAAAGAGAAAAGGAAGGAGAAGGAAGGAAGGGAGGGAGCGAGGGAGGAAGGAAGGAAGGAAGGAAAGAAGGAAATAAATCAGGACAGGGTAGAAACTTGAGCTTTACTCTTAAGGCAGGGAGAGTCAATGAAAAAAGTAAACAGGGCCAGGTGCAGTGGCTCACGCCTGTAATCCCAACACTTTGGGAACCCGAGTTGGGTGGATCATGAGGTCAGGAGATCGAGACCATCCTGACTAACATGGTGAAACCCCGTCTCTACTAAAAATGCAAAAAAATTAGCTGGGTGTGGTGGCACACACCTGTAGTCTCAGCTACTTGGGAGGCTGAAGCAGAAGAATCGCTTGAACCTGGGAGCCGGAGGTTTCAGTGAATCAAGATCACGCCACTGGCACTCCAGCCTGGGTGACAGAACGAGACTCCGTCTCAAAAAAAAAAAAAAAAAAAAAAAAAAAAAAAAAAAAAAAGAAAAGAAAAGACTTAAACAATGCAAGTGAGTAGCACATAAATATCATGAAATCAGCTAATTTCTGTGAGTTGCTCTCAAGTTGTCTTGTTTTTCATGCTTCATTTTCGGGTGATATATTCTCAGGGCCATAATCTAAAAAGGAAGTGAAAAAATCCACTTCCCTGGGATAAAAATATTAAAACTTCAGGCATAGAATTTTTTTAAAATTCTATGAGTATGCAATTTTAATGGTTTTCAGGAAAAGTGTGTTCTTTGTAATTCTCCCAACAGCTCAGAACTTATTTAAGATGTAACTGAACTCATTGAGAGACAGCACATGCTTTATGTTTTGTAATTGATGAAATGTTCCCCCTAAATAAATCTCACATTGCCAGATCTGATGACATGAGTAATAAAACATAACCATGTGAAGGAAATGGCTATTTTGAGCAATATGCAGGAAAGAGATATTCATTTGGTGTTGAAAAATAGAACATATTTTTATGAAAAACTACACTCTCCAGACCATTGTAGCAAACCTCCTGACATTGAGATTGGAGGACATTTCAGGGCCAAAGTTGCTAAAGAAAAATTCTCTGTTTCAAACTCAAAAATTACGGTGTTTCAGATAGCATGTGCCTCAAAACTTGAATAGATGTTGAATTAAAAATCTAGTGGATTTTTTCTACTCTTGTAGACAGAGTCCGGACTTGGGATGGTAGAAACATGAGTTTGCTGCAGTAATGAAATAATCAGCAATTCCTGCTTCTTGGATGATGTATTTTCTAAGGAAGTTTTTTATGCACACAGTATGCCATGTCTGCAAGCCATATGCCTGTATATGGAAAATAAAGAGATTAATATCCACTACTAAGCCAGTGAGAAAGAGCCAGTAGCAGTTTCTAAGAAGTTATTATAAAATCTTCCCAGTTGGGACTGGCCTGAAGTTGGGCCACATAGGCTAAAGTCATTACTTTTCATATTTGCAAAATTAATTGGGGAGTAAGACTTGACGTGGTACTAGCTGCAGGGCACACTTGTGATCTCTTCCTGGCTTTCTCATTTACTAGCTAGAGACCTTTATCAAGCCACTTAACCTGCTTAAGCATGCATAAAATAGGAAAGTATATCTGAGTTTGCAAGATGATTGTAAAAATTATGACAGATGATGCATGCAACATTCCTGGCACTATAGATGCTTAAGAAACTAATATTACTTCCAGAAATGTGTTTTAAAATGTAGATACCCCAAAGCATTTTCAAATTTTCTGCTACTTGACATTGTCATATTTTTCTTACATACGCTCTGGTCCTGATTTACTCTTCCCACTGCCACCTCAATTTCTTTAGCTACTTTCCTGAAGATTGTGGCTTCCATGACCTATAGCAGCTTTGTTTCATATGACATTGCACATGTCATTTATGTGCCTATCTAAATATAAGTTCCATTCATTTCAACATGTCTGACTCCTCATCTCTAACTCCTTGTCGCCGTATAAGCCAGTCTTCTTACTTTAAAATTTCATTTCTCTACCTACTCATATTTGCTACTGTTCCCCAAATCTTGTTTACAAATCATCTCCTGGGACTGATTGTAAAGCCGTGGTTGGATAGAGTTGTATATATGTATTGTAGGAATATGCAGTTAAAAGGAACATCGCAGGTGTAGTGGGTTAGTAAAGATTATCTTTCATAAAAGAACATTTTTTGTTGCTGCACCTCCACTCTCTACCTCACTCACTGCCGACCCCCAATTTGCCAAATTATAAACCCATTCAGAATTTAACCTGTGTCTTGTCAGCTATTGCGTATCTCTTCACAGTATCTAGTGCAGTGTTTGTAGATATATAGGCTGAGTGAACAGTACTGAAATCACACCATCTGAAAACTACTGTGAATCTCATTCATCAGCTAGCCCAGAACCTTCACTTTATAGGTGAGTAACCTAAAGAATTACTCTGGTGTCTGGGCACAGTAGCTCACGCCTGTAATCCCAGCATTCTGGGAGGCTGAGGTGGGCAGATCATGAGGTCAGGAGTTCGAGACCAACCTGGCCAACGTGATGAAACCCCATCTCTACTAAAAAAAATTCAAGAAGTAGTCAAGAGTGGTGGTGTGCACCTGTAATATCAGCTACTCAGGAGGCTGAGGCAGGAGCATCGCTTGAATCCTGGAGGCAAAGGTTGCAGCGAGCCGAGATCGGACCATTGCACTCCAGCCTGGGCAAAAGAGCCAGACTTCGTCTCCAAAAAAAAAAAGAATTACTCTGGTGACAAAGCTAGTTGCAGAAATGGGACTAAAACCTGATTCTCTGCACTCAAACTTTAATTCTTTAGCCACAGCCATAATTGATTTAAAGAAAAAAGCCCAATCTTCCCCCCTTTAAAGGAAACTGTTAGCTTTCTCCTATAAGATAGCACATATATTGTAATGTTTCTCATAAATATAAAGGTAGGAAAAGTAGGGCATAAGACCAAGGGGAAACCTTTTTATTATCTTGAGTTTAACCTTGGGGGTACTTCTACATGTAAGATGTTTTAGAAAAACACTCAGGGCAAAAACCTGTCCTTTTTGTTAAGAGTAGGTGAGTAGTCACGGTCTAAGGTCTTGTTAGATAAAGTTCAGTCTCAGTTCCTAATGTCATCCACCGTGGTCTATCAGGCATATTATTTAAACCCCTCTGATATGCATATGTACCTATATTAAGCCAGCCTCAGCACCTACTACAAATCACTGTTCTCAGTGTATCCTTGTTTCTTCCCTAGGTATCAGTGAGAAAGGTAGGACACACAATTCCTTGGAAGAACAGAAGGATGAATAACTACTTGATTTCAGGAAGAACTGGCAATGTATCTAGACAGACATCCAACTTCATCTGTAAAATAGGAATAAAAACACCTAATGCCTGGGGTGCTATGAAAATTGTACAAAATAACAAATATAAAGTGTTTAGCACAGATGGCAGATAATGTTAATAATGTTTTAATTTTTCTTGGTGGCATACATGAACTGGTTGATTAGGTTAAAATTATGCGTGAAAGCACAGCTTTACTTTTATGAAAAATGTATTTGAGGTCCACTAGGTTGTATGTGATGTTGTTGTCCACCTCATCCAACCCACCATGATTTTGGTACTTACATACTTAAATGTCCTTGGATTGGATCCAAGGAAGACCAGCCATATACACATATTCGGCCCCGAAGTGAATTGTGCTATGGCAATTATCCCATTGAATTGCTCTTTAAAAGGTCAATTCATTAGCTTTGCCTTTGCTTCCCTCATTTTTGAATGTGGTGCTGATTAAACCTCCATGAAGCCTTGTATTAACCTTTTATTCAAAGTAAGTAAAAACCAGTTCAAGATTTTCACTGCAAAGCTGTCATAGGTCACCAGGTTGAAAGCATTTACAGGAGAAAAAATGGGATGTATTTTCCCAGAAAAAAAAAATGACACCAGGCTCTTAAATGTTCTTGGGTTCCTTTTTAGTTGGACAGTACCAGGGGAACTGTAATCTTATCAGTGTTTCTTTATATCTTACAGCACATATTTGCAAATGGCATTGAAAAAGAGAAGTGATGGAGGTTAAAGGAGTTTCAGATATAATAATTCTTAATCAAAATTTCATTTAGGAAAGAGCAGCACCTAGATTTACTAAGCAAGGTAAAGTAGTAGGACTTTCTTTCCAGGAAGAATGAGAGAAACACTTGGTAGTAATTTATGCCTTTCTTATGGGTTCCAGTATATTATGGAGTCAGACATGTATATGTACATATATCAAGGGAGCCTCAGCACCTGCTGCAAATCACTATCTTCAGTGCATTCTTGTTTCTTCCCTGGGTATCAGTGAGGAAGGAAGGACACATACTCCCTTGGCAGGTGACAGAATGATGTAGTACTACTTAATTTCAGCAACAATTGGGAATATATGTAGCCTGAACCTCAGCATTAACTAAGGATAGAATTCAGTCTTCCTAGAAGCTCTATTTTTACCTACTATATAAGATATTCTGGCAACCAGTAAATTTACAGGCCACTGAATGAAAGTCTAACATTGTTGTGTCTTGATATTTCAGTGACTACTCATCACAGATTTCATAGAAAGAGTGAAAGGAAATTATGGAGTATAACTAAATACAAAACATCTCTTTTTGTAAAAATTGAGAATTTGATTTTTTTATACAAACTTGATTCTGTTCCAAAGTATGAAGAAATAAATCAAACATACTATTCTTGCATCTGCAATTGTTTGACAATGATTCTATAAAATTTCAGATTTGTATCCCAGTTTTGAAATTTTGCACACATTCTTTAATTGTTTTCACAAGAACTTTGAATTGGTGCTAAATGTAATCCCCTGCTTTTGTAAATTATTTATATCTTTTTATATTATTTTGGGGAAGAAAAGATTCTTGATTTACAGAGTTAATTGTATTAGAAGATCTGTCATTCTATGTATCTAATCATTAAGTACAAGAGCTAATAAAATTTTTAAATCAGAAAGTACTAAGGTATCACCTTTTTTAAATTCTAGAAGTTAATATCCAGGACTGGAACAATAAGGAATAAATATTTATCAGGTTTTAAAAAATTGCCTGTAGCCGGGCGCAGTGGCTCATGCCTGTAATCCCAGCACTTTGGGAGGCTGAGGCGGGCAGATCATGAGGTCAGGAGATTGAGATCATCCTGGCTAACACGGTGAAATCTCGTCTCTACTAAAAATACAAAAATTAGCCAGGCATGGTGGCACACACCTGTAGTCCCAGCACTTTGGGAGGCTGAGGTGGGCAGATCATGAGGTCAGGAGATTGAGATCATCCTGGCTAACACGGTGAAATCTCGTCTCTACTAAAAATACCAAAATTAGCCAGGCATGGTGGCACACACCTGTAGTCCCAGCTACTCGGGAGTCTGAGACAGGAGAATCTCTTGAACCCTGGAAGTGGAGGTTGCAGTGAGCCGAGATCGTGCCACTGCAGTCCAGTGTGGGTTACAGAACGAGACTCCATCTCTAAATAAATAAATAAATATTACCATTAACATATATGTTGTAGCCATGGTTTTGAATTATCTTCTGTATAGGGTCATAAAGAAACTAGAGGACTTCTGAATAGATGATTTAGCAAAATATGTGTTAAAATGATTGTATATTACATTTTTAAAAATTTTTCAAAATGTTTTTAATTACTGAATACATTTGAGAAATTCTAACGTCTAGAAAGACAGCACTAAAGAATTCTCCTGGCTTTAACTAACATCCTTGTCTCTTGTAAGTATGGCTAATAAGGGTTAATATTTGAGTCTCTAATAATTTATTTCTTAGAAAAATACTTCTTCACTATTTCTCAACGGGAAGCATTTAGTAACTATGTGATATATTCCATAGGAGATATTCAAAAGAAATGCAAAATTCTCTTTGTCCAAGATAATTTCCAATATGCTTACTGTCTTTGCTTACACTTGATTTTGTCATTTGTGTCTACGCATTTTCCAACCAAAAGAAGTTTCCATCCTGCTATACTAGCTATATATAGTGTGCCCAGGTAGTACACATTCAGATAGTAAAGTTTCATAGATATTTTCCGTATGTCTTAGAGAAGTGAACACTCTCTAAGCAACTTGATCCTTAAACTATAAAAACAACCTGTACTAAAAATCCCAGCAGATATTTCACATTAGCACTATTTGTGCAGTATTATGACCTAAGTAGATGATCACGTATACATCTTACCCCTTCTGAAAGTGCTTACTGGAATTCAACACTTTGCAAAAGCTTATTGAAGCTGCTAGGCAAGAGTTGACATTATCTATTAATAGTTAAGAAAAGGCTTAAGTTATTTAACCTTCCCTACCTAATGACTAGATTAAAATTTTAATGAAATATATTTTACCATTGCTAACTTGTTTGACTTGGCATGAGAAAAATTCTTTTCTGAGATCAGTTTGAATGCATGTTTCTTTTTCTAGAAAAATTGAGAAGGATTATTATAGTTACTCAAAAGTAGAAAGAGAAAGGAATGTGTCAGGAGAGATTTTGGTAGAGATTTAATAAAATTTTTACTACTGTAATTATACATACATACACACACATATAGAAATTCAAAATACTTTTTAAAGAGAGAATTTCTTTTTATTTATGTTTAAAATTTATTGATTTTTAACTGGGAAGCCAACACAGGCTAGCTCTACCTGGCTAATCCTGAATCTGCAAAAAGTATAAAATGTGTCAGAACTGCTCCTGAGAAGTGAAACAGAGCATTTTGATTTTAAAGATGTATATGGAATTATCAAGTAAACAATATGATTGCACATGGATTTCTACCAGTAGTTAATATGTGAATTACATTTAATTCTTCAGAGTATTAACCTACTAAAGCATACTCTGAGGATAAGCCTGTCTGGCAAAATTTCAGGTAGGTATTGTGTTTAAAGATAAAGAATTATGTTTGAAAACTTGTGAGTTTTCATATCAAGAATGTTTCATAAGCTCACTTTCAGTATACAGTTAAGAATTTTAGAATAAAAAATGAAACTACAGAAATTGCTTTAGCATTTTTGCACTAGAACAGTTTAATTAGAATGAATATAACAAAGAGTAAAACCATTTAAGAACAGGATAAACACGTATTCAAAATGCTTTCTTTAGGAGATGATACACAATCATTTTTAATATGGATTACCCATTGTTCTTCTGCTGTTTATAAATCAAAATCATAAGTAATTTAGTCCTACAGCTACTTGAGTTTTGAGTGTAAAATGAGGAGTGCCTAGTCTGCGTATACTTAATGAATGTATACAAATACACCTATTAAGATAAACCTGAGCTTCAATAGTGCACTACATGCTCCTCTGAAACCACCTTATAATAGTTAATGAGGACGTAGCTCCCTAGGTCTCTCTCTCTCTCTTTTTTTTTTTTTTTTTTTTTTTTTTGAGACGGAGTCTTGCTTTGTCACCCAGGCCGGAGTGCAGTGGCGCGATCTCGGCTCACTGCAAGCTCCGCCTCCCGGGTTCTCGCCATTCTCCTGCCTCAGCCTCCGGAGTAGCTGGGACTATAGGCGCCCGCCACCATGCCCAGCTAATTTTTTGTATTTTTTTAGTAGAGACGGGGTTTCACCGTGTTAGCCAGAATGGTCTCGATCTCCTGACGTCGTGATCCGCCCGCCTAGGCCTCCCAAAGTGCTGGGATTACAGGCTTGAGCCACCGCGCCCAGCCTCCTTTTTTTTTTTTTTTTTTTTGAGACGGAATCTTGCTCCTTCTTACAGGCTGGAGTGCAATGGCAGCATCTCGGTTCACTGCAACCTCAGCCTCCCGGGTTCAAGCAATTCTCTGCCTCAGCCTCCCGAGTGGCTGGGATTACAGGCACCCGCCACTATGCCTGGCTAATTTTTGTATTTTTAGTAGAGACGGGGTTTCACCATCTTGGGCAGGCTGGTCTTGAACTCCTGACCTTGTGATCCACCCACCTCGGCCTCCCAAAGTGCTAGGATTACAGGCGTGAGCCACCGCGCCCAGCCCGACCTAGCTCTTAAGTACTAAATTTCCAAGCGAGGATACCAGAAAAGTACAGAATAAACATATCCCTGTCCTCAAACAGCTTTCAAACTTATGGAGAACAGGCCAAAACCCAAATAAGAAAACAAGTAAGTACTAAACTGAGAGAATGACTAGAAGGACGGCTAGGGCTGAATACATGTAAATTTCTCCATTGTGCAAAGGGATAGGATGAGTAATCGAACCCTATACCCTAGGGATGATGAAAGCACAGATGAGGTAATGTTTTGGAAGGATTTGCAAAACAGGGAGAGTCATTAGGAAATTTGAAATTCAATCTGCTTGTTACCTAACCTTGTGCCTATTCCCTCATCTATATTTACCTATTAAATATTTTCCAGTAATATTTCCTTTGTATTCTTAACCCTGCCAACACATATTTTCTTGATTATTTTTTCTCTTCATCCCAAATGAGACACAGACAGGATTCTGAGATCGATATGAAAGAGGATTTTTCTGTGCCTATTTCTCTTGTTATATTGCATTAACACATTCAGCCCATTCTACATAAATGGAAAAGGAAATGTTAGTGAAACAGTTAGCTTCAGTTAATTGCTAAGGATGTGGCAGAAGATGATATACCAAGATTGCTCAGGAAAGATTTTTGTAACAGAATGGTTACAAATAACTGGCAGCCTTGATCTATAAAAACATTATGTGTTTCATATCAAATCAGCAGTCTAAATTTTAGAACAAGGTATCATACAACTACAGAAATTTTCACATATCTTCTTTTCCCAAAAAGATGTAATAACGTGGGAGAGAGGGGAGGTGTGATAATAATACAAAGGATGAGAACATGGCAAGTAATGAAATGCTGAAGTCACAGCATTTTGTCATGAAGTCATGGTTGGAATGGATCCATTACTGCCTTCACATTTATTTTCATGACCCTTTTTACTGAATATTCCATTGGTCCCCCATTCTAAAAGAAGTCCCTGCTTGCTCTTTGAGTAGGAGAAAAGCAAGCTTTGGTAATTTGAAAGGTAATTTGACAGGCATTGAAATCTTCTATTTCCCTGAATACATAGCTCATTAATGTCAAGACAAAGAAAAATAAACCCGCCCTATAAATGATGGTCTGAAAAACGTCCAGCCTTATATGCTAGAGGTGCTTTATGGGAATAGCATTGTGACTTGTATGTTAATGAAGAAATGTTATTTTATAGTTCCAGATTCTGCCAGACTCAAAATGTTTAGAGAAGTGCATTAACTTTTTCAGTTCACCAGGGTCCCTTGGATGCCTCCCTACACCAGGGAAAGCATCAAGGTTACAGTCTGTTAAAAGTTTATCAAACTGTTAAGTATCTATCACATTTAAATCGACATCTTCCTTTTTAAAAATACCGTAGCATCCTGATTCAGATATTTAGTCACACTAATTAAATAACATTCTGGGAAAAGATCCTGAAAATTAATATGACCTGTCCCAAAATGGAAACTGAATCACCTGAGTAATAAACCCATAGCTCTTAGAAAGTCTTTGATGGTGCAGAAGGATTTTACCCACTAAAATGTAGTTCCTATCATTTGTTACTTGCTGTCTACTATATATTTAAATATGTGCTTTCCAACCTTAAAGGTCTGTATGAATTGATGAGTCATTAGATGATATCTGATAATATCAGGGTTCGCGTAATGTAAATCCAAAAAAAAAAAAAAAAAGGCTGTGTTTTTTTCTAAAATCTTTTGCAAGAAAAACAGCTCCACTGAAAACTTCTTTTTAAGTAAGCCAGAATTCATTGAGCTGTTCTTGAGGATACCCTGGGGTGATGGTTTGCTCTTTCACTATTACACTTTAATTGGAAAGCGAAATTGTCATTGTTGTGATTTACCAAAGCATACTTCTTCCAAACACAGAGCTCTTCCAATTTTTTTTGACTTTTATTTTGTTGTAGCTTTTATTATTTAACATTGCTTTTCCTTGGTAGTGTTACAGTGCCATTTTCATGGAGACAAGGGGGCAGTTTATGGTTAATTTTGCTTTTTCATTTCAAAAATATTTTGACAATACATCACTTGGGGGCTGTTACTGCACATTTGAAATAAGTGTCTGTTGTGGCAGAGGACATAGAGTTGACATATTATAAGGCATAAATAATAATAATGCTTCCCATTCATATCACATCTAGCATCCAGAGGGCCCCAAAGTGCTCACCACACAGCAGGGAAGGATTATTGTACAGCAGGCCTAAAAGTTTACACAATTATAGTGCATAAAATGCTGATTAGATGTCAATTTCCAGTATTATTCCTGAAAGTCTGTGAGCTGGAACACATCCTCTGTCTCCAAAGCTGGAGAAAAAAGAACAAATATAGATAGTTTGTGAGGTGGCAGGATGGATGGGCTTTGTCAGACTCATCCATTCCAGGCTCTTTGTTACTTACGGATATTATTGTTCTACCAGTTATTAAGTCTGGAAGTGGAGGAAGGAAGTGCCAGGCTTCTCACTTCATTGTAGAATGTCTTGGAACGTGAAATGTTGCTTCTGTGTCTGAGGACAAACTTCTTTGATTTATTTTTTTCCATATAGCCTGATGTGGTTTGGCTGTGTGTCTGCGCTCTGATTATCACCTTGAATTGTAATAATCAGCACATGTCAAGAGTGGGACCAGGTGGAGGTAATTGAATCATGGGGGTGGTTTTCCCCATGCTGTTCTCGTGATAGTAAGTGAGTTCTCACAAGAGCAGATGGTTTTATAAGCATCTGGCATTTCCCCTGCGGGCACTAATTTCTCTCTTCTGCGGCCATGTTAAGAAGGATGTGTTTGCTTCCCTTTCCACGATGATTGTAAGTTTCCTGAGGCCTCCGTAGCCCTGCGGAACTGTGAGTAAATTAAACCTCTTTCCTTTATAAGTTGCCCAGTCTCGGACAGTTCCTTATAGCAGGGTGAGAACAGAATAATACATAGCCCCACTGCTTTCACTTCTCCCCCATCACCGGCAAAGAAATGGTAGCCATTTCTCCTATTTGAGTTCCTTCTCTCACTTCAAGTTTAGTTGACTAAACGCAAAGAAAGGCCCCTAAGTTTGTAGAAAATGGCATCTTGCCTTCTGTGAGTAATGTTGAAACCCTCGGTCTTATCCTGAGACTCATACATTTTATCTTGTTTCCTGTAACTGGTGTCTGGACTTTCTGAGTCTAGGTAGGACTTTACCTACCTAGTTGCATTGGTCCTTTAAATTGCATTACTCTTTACCTTTAGTCCATGGGTCTTGTTAAAATAAAAAATAAAATAAAAAGATCCTTACTTCTTTTTTTCATGTTCTACAAAGCCCTAGAGAGGCAAAGAGAACTAAACTGCACTTCACAATTACATTTTCACTTGAAAACTATTTATCTATTTAGCCCGTGTAAGTTTACTGAGTGCCTGTATTTTGATGGATACTGTTGGAAATTCCATCTCCTTGGAGATTTTTATCTAAGCCTCACAAAATCCTGCAAGATAGTTTTATCCCATTTTATAGATGAAAAGGCAGAGTCTCAGATTTCACAGGTAGAACTTTCTGGAATGGAAAAAAAACATGCTTTTGGCTGTCAGTGTGCTTTCAGCTATATTAATCTATGAATCTCTTTTTGTCTGTCACATCTGCTGCCTTCTCTATGATGTTCAGTGGTTTAAGGTAATAGGCAAACCCTGCAAGTGCTTTCTTGTTTTTCATTCATTATTACTGATGCATGGAACATTATCATTGAAAAGGACCTGTCATAATATTATACAGAAGGGTAAACAGAGGCCACACACAGAGGGCCAGGCTGCCTCCTCCCAAGCCCAGGTCTTTTTTTTTTTTTTTTTTTTTTTTTTTTGGCAGAAATCCCTGTTTATTTTTCTAGCCAAAGACAGGCTGTGACCATTTATAATCATTTCTATGTTATTCTCATTTCTTCCTCCCTACTCCAGCCACAGTCTCCTGTGTGCCTAGAGTGAGATGAACTCTTAGGAGGTCTCACTATATGATTTGCAAAACTTCCACATCAAAGAAAGGAGAGACCTTTTTCCCTCCTAGCATTCTTTTCCTTGCTTTCCACATATCGTTAAAGGAACATGGAACAGCTCTAATCATAAAGTGTGCAGCAAGTGTCCCCTTGTGTTAGGACAGTTAGGCATATTGTACAATCTAGGGATACTTGGAAAGTACAAGATATGCTCTGATAATTGCATTTCTTATAGTTGTGGAAAAACACAGGGCTTTTATTCCCCTTGTCCAGCCAAAGCCTAGAAGAAATGATGAGAGAGGCACTAAAAAATCATAAAACTGCTGTGATATTGATTTAAGGTTAGATACAACAAAATCTCTTAAAAATTATGTAGAACATACCACTGAAATAGGATTAGATGAGAAAGTCAGCCTTTTGATAAATTGCAAAACAAAAGACAGAAGTCTTGACTACACCGGCTGTGATAGCATTACCTAAAATTTAAATGTCTGCCATTTTTTTCATATATCAGTTCAAACGAGACTTACTACACTGGGCTATTTCTTTTTTTGTTTATGCTAGATTCCTGCCTAGAAAGATTATGGGGATGTAATAGACAATAGTGGTTACAAATCCAGGCCCTAGAATTAAGTCGCTGGAGTTCACAGGGAGGCTTTAAAATTTGTTTATTAACCATGTGACATTGGGCAAGTTATTTAGCATCCATGTCCTCAACTACAAAAAGAGGCAATAAAAAAAGAATTAATGAAATTTAACTGAAACGTGGTGTTAAGAACAAATCAGTGGTTCTCAACTAGGGAGATTTTGCCCTCGAGTATTTGGCAATGTCTGGAGACACTTTCGATTGTCACAACTTGTGGTTGTGTGGGGATGTTTTGGTGTGATTACTGGCATCTGGTGAATAGAAGTCAAGGATGCTGCTAACCATCATACAGTGCACAGGTCAGTCCCCCACAAGTAAGAATTGCCTAATCCTAAATGTCAATTGCATCATGGTTACAAAATCCTGGATTAAACACAAGGACATACATGAAGTTTTTAAAATAGTATATAACACATAGTAAGCACTTAGTGGGTGCTAACCATGATCATCATTCATTATGAAGTTTAGTTGCATTGGTAACTAATCCTCAAATAGCATTTTCGAATGGTTACTCTTGATAAAGAAACTATACTTACTTATTAAATCGGAATGTCCCCACCAAGACTTCAACACTATTCGCTCTGCTATAATCCCCTCTCTCCATCCATACTCATTTCTAAAAACAAAAACAAAAACAAAAAAAAAACAAGCTCTTTAGTCTAGACACATGGTTGTTGCTATCTCTAGTGCTATACTTTTAATATTTAACTTCTGGATCAGCCTCCTACTAGCTTATCCACATTGCTTCCCTTCTTTGAGGTCCTACTCAAGGCTTATCTCCAAATAACCCTTCCTAACTCACCTAGCTTTAGCATTCCGTCATTACACCACTCTTCCGACTCCCCCATTGTCAGGCATTCACTGAAACTAGTACCCAAATGATGTAATTTCTCTTTCATGTAGGTTTGCTTTATCTCAAAAATAAGAAATGTCTTTCATTAATGCTGTGCCCACATTTAGAAATCAGTCCAAATTGCTACTCAGCCAGTCATTGAACTTTTGTTATTGCCACTTGGTACCAAAATAAAATTTAAAAACGTTTTCCACCAAGTGGTTTCAGACCTGGGTTCCGCAGATTATAAGAAATGGAAGCAGTAGCATACATTTCAATATATGTAATAGATGTTGTAAATTATTTCATCCATAAGACTCTTCATAAATACATGTAATGAAGCTTTTAACCAAACCATGGCATGTCTTACCTTATTTCCTGCAACTACATCAATTAGCGTGTGGTGCTAAAGCATAATAAACCACGACAAAAGTAATCCTTATTAAAACACAATTCTTTTACTCTGGGTACCAGGCCAACAATTCAAGAGGTCAATTAAGATTCTTCCTAAAGAGATTCTTTAACTTGGGAGTTTACGAAGCCAGTAAAATCATTTGTACAGAATGCTGAGACCACATGCTAGAATGAGAAATAGATCTTGGTTATTTTACACAGCTGTATCCAAAAAAAAAAAAAGAAACTTTAATAGTAATATCTCAACAACACAAAACGAAAACCCCTTTGTAGTATTTACAAATCTCCTTCTTCTTGAAGATATAATGCCTAAAATGGCTAAATGATCATATAAAAGATAACCAATGAAAATGAAATCAATACTTTATTGGACATGAAATGATTAAATCATGATCTTGAGTGACTGTTAGTAGAGGGATATTTAAGGGATTTAGAGAGGAGGTAGTGGTGATGAACAAATGTAGGTTTTGTTTTCAGATCAGATCCCAAGCAGGTAGGGTTTCTCCCCCACAAAAGGGCTTTGCAAATTCTTTCCACTAGCAAAGCATGTGCCACAGCAAAGAAGGACACAGCCACAAGCATTGAAGGTCCCACAGAAGTAATACTTCAGGAGTGCAATCCATTCCATTCCATGGGTTAACTATTAATAATACAAAACAATACTCAAATGAAAACTACATTATAAAAAAAATGGACTTTTCCCATTCACTGTAGTGTAAATTCTAAAAGGTCAACTACTTCTTTTTCTTGTTTTTAACAGTATACATAGCCATGGTACAGAACTTGGTGCCTTGTAGAGTTTCATTTATTCAGTGAGTAAATAAATGAATGAATCTTTGGATATACTGTTATGGCAAGAGCCATATGAGACTCCAGGACAAAGACTGTTTCCTTGGTGAAAAATTATCAGATCTGTAAGATGAATGGAGGTGGAAAAGTCTTTCAGGACAAAATTTTCAAAATGCTATATCTATTCAAGCTCTTCTTTCTTTTTTAAAGAAAAATGAAAACCAGAAATAGCTTGTGACCTATACATGATAATAGAATTGGTGAAGAGATGACACCATGACTAATATTTTGTATGAATTATAACTTACTTGTCTTAAACAAAGAGAAACACATTTGTTCCATAAGTATGCTAATCTATACACTACTACAAATATCAGATTTAAAAAGACATACAAGTTGTAAATGCAGTTATAATAGTATTATCTCAAGATGGTCCTTGAAAAACATTTTATGCTTATTTCTTCTTTGCTCTTATTCTTCTAGTAATTCATGCCCCTGTTTTGATCAAGACATGGATGGTTTGTTTTCCATGAGAAAAGACTCTAGTTTAAATATGAAATATTCTAGGTTGTCCATGAACCATTATTGTTGTTACCAACCTTATGAAGATGGGGGGAAAATCCAGAATACTTTTAAGATAGAAAAATGCTAACTTTTATTTCTCTGCCATATTGACCCTGGGCTATTATGTTTGCCTTACATCCATAATGTGATCTTATTTCTTCAAATTCAGTGTTGTATAATGGAAAGTGATTTAGCTGTATATTCATCAATGCATTTGCTGGCTATGTAATCATGACTAAGAATATTCATTTGTTTGAGCCTCAATTTTTATGTATATAAAATGAAAATAAAAAATAAAATGTGCTTAACATCCACCTATCTCCAATTTTCTATGATTCTTTGCCTTCTTCTTTGACTATTTTTCTCCATCTTTAAGGGTCTTCACCTTATTTAAAGAAGAGGAATCTTGGAATTGTCTTTATTTTGGCTTCATACACCTTCCAAATAAGGATATATCTATACCTAGAGATCTCAATGTTTTCTAGAGGCTGGCAACTTGACCAGCCTCTGATGGTGAGGCAAGAACCTATTTTATAAAATTATATAAATATAAATCTAGCTGCCTGCTGGGCTCCATTTTTCTTAGGTAGGTATTATCTATGCTTATAAACAAACACTTGAGCACAAAGATAAGTAAGGTTATAATTCCACTGCTGATTTAATGTTTGTCCTCAGCTTATCTGAGTTTCTCACCAAAAGTCAATCATAATCTATGGGTATCTATGTAGTCTTTGCTGTTATTCTCTGAACATGTTTATTTCTGTGTATCTGCCAATCTGAATTAATTGGTCATTAAAACAGTTCCTTGTACAATTTTGAGCACAGCTCCAAATCTTCCAAAGTAAAAAAGTATGAAAATATTGAGTTCAGTTTAATATCTTTGTTAAAAAGACATTGCATTTAATGAGGACTTTCTATGCTTAGTGACTGCAGAGATTGTGACAATAGCTACCTAAGTTCCATTCATGACAAGGGATCATCAAGAACTATATCAGGTCTCATAGCCAAGGTAAAGCCTAGTCCGAACTTATCTGGATACTGTCATAAATGCTATTTACTTCTATACAAAGATTGTAAAAACTCTCCAAGGAGGCTTTCAGCAAATTCTTAGTTGTTAATTAATAATTTTGGAAAAACAAATAGTTGGTAGTTGCAAAGTTATTGATTGAGACCATCTTGAGCTTTTTGACTCTCAATGATTTGCTACCTTGCAGAGATATTTTATGTCATTAATGTTTCATGTAGACATTTTTCAAGTCTTAAAAACTTTATAATTAGCATTGATAACATGGAAATGATTTTGAAACCACATGTTAGAGAAATGCTTCAGGGTAGCTTTCTGTAGTGACTTTATGTTGTGCTTCTCAGGAAATATATATTGTTTGTGCTATTGAGAATTTCTTTTGTTATGGCCTGATCCCTGGAGATGTCATTCTCTTGAGGAGCTGGGCTGTGTAACCAAAAACAAGTTGCAGCAGGACCAGAGAGAGGGGATTTTAGAACACCTCATTCTCTGGCCTGCTACAGTGTCTGAGTCTCTGCACTCCTGAGAGAGAATGCATGCAGATGGTGTCTGTGAGGGTCTTACATTATCAGCTCATTGGTCAGAAGAAGGGGCTAGCAGGGCATTTTCTTAGAGTTATCGTTGCAAAAGGCTAGCTCTACCAGAATCTGGTTGCAGATTAATGTATTTAGGTCTGCTTATCGTTTTCATCAGATCTGACTTGGATATTTTAAAAAGATAAGACAATAACATCAGGCTCCAAGGAAGCCTGTTGAATACAGCAGGAGTAAAGGAGAACATTCAAAAGAAATCTTTGGTTTATGGTAGCCAGTATTTCCATGATGGGACAGAAATTATCTCGGCCATCCCAGCTAATCTCAGTAAGTACAGAGCATCTAAATGTAGAGATGAATGCTTGACTTCTTATTGAGTCTGTTTCATGAAATAATATTTGGTGTTCTCCTTTTATAAATTTGACTTTTTTTTTTTAACTTGAGTTCGTTTTGTTTTGCTTTTTGGACAAAATGGATTTGGTAAATTAAAGCCTGGTTTGTTTTTTCAAGACAGAAGAAAACAAATTGTGTGATGTAGTTGTATCGTCTGCTATGTCTCTAGAGTGATTGATTGTTGTAAAGAGAGTGCAAAAATATATTTAATCCTATTACAAATTAGAATAATGGCCCACAAACCTAGATTATGCCTCAGAGCTCCTACTATCTTAGAAAGAACAGTGATTTCAAGAATAAAAATTTCAGCCATAATTCTAGATTGATTACAGTAGTTATGCAAATGTAATTATAATTTTCTGTGCAGAAAAACATTTAAATAGAAAGCACTGCAATGATCTTATTCAGAAGCTACTCTGGTGAATACTTTTACTGTAAGGGAGAACTTGGTGTATTTTAATAATTGTCAGGCGACTATTATGATTGTATATTACTGTACTGTGTAATTTTCTTGAATTGGATATGTCTCTCTTTTTGTACGATTTTAATTACCAAAAGTAATGACAAACCTTAGTAAATATGCTAATTGTACACAATAGCAATTTTCTCCATGCAGGCATAAAAATCTTGAAATAGTTTTTGCATTTCTAAAGGAAGAAGACTGTGCAGGGAATTCATATGAAAGCCACTGAGGACAGCTTGTATTTGCTCTGAAATTCATTAAAATCAAGGTGGGGTGTCCCTTTCCAGCAAGTAAATTTCAAATATGTTATTTTTTAAGTTACTTGAGCCTCTATGTTACCATGGCTTTAGCCCTCATATAAGTGACTGAGTGAAGGAATTGGAAAATACCATCTTATTTGAATCTTGTGCATTTAGTGAGAACGTTCTATGCTTAGTGCATTTAGTGAGGACTTTCTATGCTTAGTGACTGCAGAGATTGTGACAATAGCTACCTAAGTTCCATTCATGACAAGGGATCATCAAGAACTATAGCAGGTCCCATAGCCATGGTAAAGTCTAGTCCAAATATATCGATACTATCATAAATACTATTTACTTCTATACAAAGATTGTAAAAATGCTCCAAGGAGGCTTTCAGCAATTTCTTAGTTGTTAATTAATAATTTTGGAAAAACAAATAGTTGGTAGTTATAAAGTTATTGATTGAAACCATCCTGAGCTTTTTGACTCTCAGGATTTGTTACCTTGAAGAGATATTTTATGTCATTGTTTTATGAAGAAATTTATCAACTCTTAAAAACTTTGTAATTAACATTGATAACACCCTCTCACAACCAAACATACACCCCCTAGTGACATTATGGCTACTATAATGTAGAGTAAGCTTGTTGCTTTCCACTTAAAACGTGTTGAGTAATCTTATATACTTTGTAGAATTAGCAGATCAGAAAGAAAACTCCAATCCTGAAGCAGAATGTTCATTTTCTTCTCCTTCCTATGCAGGGTTTTAAAAACTCGATCTGCACTTGTATTATTTCTTGCAAGGCAATTGAGATTCCACAGAAAATTTTGTCAATTAATTTTCATTACTATGTGCATATCTTACATAGTGTTCAGAGTCATATTCTGGACTTTTCTAGGGAGGAAGGAATCAAAAAGAACCATAAGATGCCATCCTCGGAGCTCACAGTGAGCCGAGATCATGCCACTCTCCAGCCTGGGTGACAGAGCAAGACTCCATCTCAAAAAAAAAAAAAAAATGGCATCCTTCTCCAAAGGAGTTTTCAGTCCATTGGATTCCTGCTTAGTTCCTGACTGCCAAGCTTTTTGTATTTCCCCAAACTTAGCAAACAAGGCCCTTTCCACATCTAAACAGTAAAGGAAGCTAACTACCTCCAAGAGGATATAGAAAAGAACCAAAAGTTAGATCCAAACCCAGTTCTCTAGTGTTCTGTTCATTAGAAACTGAATTCATCATGGGTCCAATCACTCTTGCTTAGGAGATGTCATCATACTCCCAAGTCACTTGGAAAACCATGTATCAATGCTATTTAAAACATTGAACCTCCTATTTTGGGAATGTCTAGATACTTGGGGAGACGAAATTAATAAGGCAAGGATCTTGATGTATAAATAATCTTGTCTCTCTTGTTGATGGTTATACACATTTAAAGAGAATAAGTAAATTTTGTCATCATGTTGTTAATCTCTTGGATTCAGCATCCAAATTTCATAACAAAGCCAGGACTGGTTACTTAGAATGGTGAACTTTCACATTAGGTAGACAGCATTGGGAGTTAGAATAACACTTACCATTAAAAAGTCAGGAAACAACAGATGCTGGAGAGGATGTGGAGAAATAGGAACACTTTTACACTGTTGGTGGGAGTGTAAATTAGTTCAACCACTGTGGAAGACAGTGTGGCGATTCCTCAAGGATCTAGAACCAGAAATACCATTTGACCCAGCAATCCCATTACTGGGCATTTACCCAAAGGATTATAAATCATTCTACTATAAAAGACACATGCACATGTATGTTTATTGTAGCACTATTCACAATAGCAAAGACTTGGAACCCAGCCAAATGTCCATCAATGATAGACTGGATAAAGAAAATGTGGCACATATACACTAGGGAATACTATGCAGCCATAAAAAAGGATGAGTTCATGTTCTTTGCAGGGACATGGATGAAGCTGGAAACCATCATTCTCAGCAAACTAACACAGGAACCGAAAACCAAATACTGTGTGTTCTCACTCATAAGTGGGATTTGAACAATGAGAAGATATGGACACAGGGAGGGGAACATCACATACCAGGGCCTGTCGAGGGGTGGTGACCCCTCAAACGTCAAAATGTGACCACCACATTTTGTCAGAGATAGGGTCTTGCTCTGTCACTCAGGCTGGAGTGCAGTGGTGGGATCAAAGCTCACTGCGACTTCAAATGTGTGGGCTCAAATGATCCTCCTGCCTCAACCTCCTTAGGAGATGGTACTACAGGCATGCACTACTATGTCTGGCTAATTATTATTTTATTTTCTGTAGAGACAAGGTCTCGCTTTGTTATCCAGGCTGGTCTGAAACTCCTGGCCTCAAGTGATTCTCCCACCTTGGCCTCCCAAGGTATCAGGATTGCAGGTGTGAGCCACTGTACCTGGCCTGTTCCCTTGATAGCACAGAAACTTACACTTGTAAGGGACTTAAAAGGTCATGCAATCTCACCATCTGCCTAGTGCATGCATTTCCTTCAGTCATCTTCATAGATGAGCATCTAGCCTCTCTTCAAATATTTTTCATCTTCGAGATAGCCTGTTTCATTGCTAAATCGTTCTGATGATCCAGAAGTTGTGCTTTGTGTTTGCACTGTTTAAGGCCCAACCCCAGGAAGAGAAGTAAACAAAACATGATTTATCCCTGCAGAGAGGGGGATTTGAATCACAAGCACAGTTTTGTATGCAATAGTAGTAAAGTGGAGTAATACATTTTTAGCAATACAATGAATATACTCTAGGAGCAAAAAAATCTAAAATTACATTCTTGACATACATCATTGTGGAAGAGGCATTTCATTTGTTTCTTTAAAGGTGGGTATATCAACAGGCAATGTTGAGGAAAAGAGTAACCTAAGAGATCAAAGGAGAGAATTCATACATCAGGTCAGGGAATGGGAGAGACTCCACAGAATGCCTCAGGGAATGACTGGCATGCAGAATGAGTATAATGGGAATGTATAACAAAAGTTTGCAAAGGCAAATGGTGGGCAGATGATAGAAAACCTGCTAAGGAGTTTGGACTTGGTCTGCAGGCATTAGAGAGCAATTGATGTTTTTTAAGCCAGGGAATGGAATTATTAGAGCTGTGCTTTGGGAAAATGACTTCACCAGCTGACTACAAAATGGCCTAAGAAGGGAGAGACTAGAAGCTGAGCAATAGCTAAGGAAGCAAGTGCGGTAGTTCAAGAAGGAGGTAATGAAAATTAGAACTAGGGTAATGGAAGTGGGAATATTGTGTAGGCAAGAGGAACATTGCCGAAACAAGAGGAATTAATTGGCCATTGATTATGAGCTTTGAGGATGGAGAGAAGAGATACCAAAGAGAAAGGGAACAAGCTGAGGAAGTTCCATGTCTACAAATACTTACTGAGGATTGATTTATGTTATATAAGAACAATGGTAGTCACTGATGAGGTAGACAACCAAGGTGTGTCAACATGCATTCTCTGCATGAGTGTTTTTAATAGCACGGACACCGGTGGCAAGTTATACTTTCAGAAACCTCTCTATAGGGCAAAGTTGATTCCAATAAAATTAATAGATCTAACTGTGGCAAAAATGCTAACATTAAAAGGGCAGTAAGTTATCGTCAGATGGAGAATTAGCAGAAATGCGTCTGAGGCAGAGGCTTCAGCATGAGCAAAGATTGTGAAGATGCACAGTGTGTTTGAGAACTGTAGAATTTGGTGCAGAAGGTAATTAGAATGCAGGGAAGTGAATAATTTTGAGCAGATGTTTAGAGAATATTAAAAACTCTATAAAAGAGGTTAGACTAATTCTCTAGGTAATGGGAAGCTCTGGAAGAGTGTGTTTTTGTTTTTGGTTGTGCTTTTGTTTTGTTTTTAGTAGTAATGAGAAGTTATTTGCTCTAGGTTCTGGAAGATAATGCTGGTAAAAAGTAGATGATACATTCCACAGTATGAAGCCTAAAGGCTTTGGACAACTGTGAGTAAGGAGACTCTCATGGTTGTCCCGGTTGGTAATGCTATTATTGGCCTGTAGGAAAGCAGTTGACTGGTAAAAAGAGAAAATGATTTAAAGCCATTTTAGAATTGGAGCAAGTTGTCTTCCTCTCAAGTAATAAGAATCAATTTTTAACATTTGCAGAAAAGTCTATATCGCTTCTTTAAAAATAATCTGCTTTCTATAGTATACCATATCTTTGTCGTGCATAGTATTTTGTTGTATAACATTTTGGTCCCTTCCTACCAGTTTCCTACTCTCTTCCTAGTGTGTAGTTATAAGAATTATTTTTGCCTGGCACTTGATAAGAACATGATCTATTGGTTGGTAATTTCTTACTTTCTTTGCAGCAGAAATAATAAATACAGTGCAAATATTCAATAATGAGCTGAAAAAGAAAGACAGTGGTTTCATGAATATTTGTTATTATTTTGGTTACTGTGGATTATCACCTGGCTGCAGGGCAACAGGCTGTCCCACTGTTTTCTAAACTGTTGGGCCCTCATGATGCCACAAGTTAAACAATCATCTTCTCAAACTGTGGATCTGTGGAATTCAGAAAATGTTGCCAGAGTTTTAGCAATGAGATGAGCAATAGCTTTTGGCCTCAGTTTGTCTTTCCTGAAAAAGTCTAAGTTATTTTAACTAGATGCGTGTAGCAAGGAATGAATGTGAATAACCTACCACTGTGTTTGGGAGAAAGAAGACAATAGAAGCTCTGCACGTAACATTCTCTGCCTAGACCACAGCTCACAGTGTCAACTTAACTACATTATTACCACAACTAGTGTGTATTAATTCGGCCTACCTTCAGGTTGTTGATTTGGGAGGCAAAGGAAGGTAGAAAGTGTATATAAAAGATTGCCTTGAATAATTCTACAAATTTTCAGAAGGAAAAATCTAAATGAACAATGGAAGTTTTAATATTAAAACCCCAGTTTTGCAACCATGAGGCTGAATATGCCAAATAGCCTAAATTAGCAGTAGGGAGAAGACTCAAGAAAACTACAGCAACCACTAAACAGAAAATAAAATGCTTCCAAAAACAATTTTTAAAAATCACATACAAATTGACACCAGAGAATACTAAAGATTCTTCCACTCTCTCTATATATACCTTAACTTTTGCTTACATGTTCTTGTGAGTTTTGAGATATTGATAAATGTATTGCAGAATGACCAAATCATATGGACTACCACAAATATTTTATTATAAATGAGTCTTTCCTTACTCACAAGAGTGTCTCTACAATATGTATCTGACCCTGTCACTATCCTGATTGATAGATTTAAGCTTCCTGGGTTCCCTAAAATAACTACAAGACTTTCACTATGATCTAACTCCTGCCTATCTCTATCTCCATCTTCTTTTATCTCTGCCACCCCACCAATGTAAACTTTTTACTCAAGTAATACCTCACCTCCCTTTCACCAACTACACCATGCCTTTTCATACCCTGTGGCTTTTTTACCTCAGTGCAAAACTTATTTCAATGTGTTTGAATTATTATGTTGTATCTCTCCAACTAGATTTCATTGTCAGGAAATAGTTCTAAATGAGAGTGGGCATCTGTTAAGTCAAGGGGAAGGAAAATGTTCCATCTTTGATATTTCTATCTGGAATGACATGAAAGTATGTACTCTTATTTTATGTCTATCAGTGCCTTATGGAATTGCTCATCATTTCTTCCCCATAGCTCCTCATGAAATGTTGGAAATATTATCTATTTCACATGTGATCCTGAAAGAACACTGTATTATGGTATGGAAATTTTAAAACAAGGATGTGAAAAAGTTAAATAAATAATTTTAAAATTTATAACCGACTTTAGTTAAACATGTGAAGCAAAAAGGCACATCGGTTTTCAAGAATGGTTCATGTGCCCATTTATACTGAACATTCTGAAAATTGTTTTGAGTAACTGCTTTGCAGCTTCAAGGAGGTTGCCAACAGATTTTATCAACTTTCAAATTAGGAGGAATGAATATAGCAGGAATTGAGAATAAATATTACATTGACAAGATTAGACACTCATTTCCTCACATTGGCAAAATATAATAGAGACATCACAAATTTAAGAAATAAAACAGCTTTTGAAGTAGCAAAAATTTGTGTTTGGCATTACAAATAGAGATACTTAACAAGAATAACCAAATGTACAAATTTCCTTTGTAATTATGTCCCACAGCTGAAAGTAACTAGCTCTATAATCTTAACAAGCTATTTCTCTTCCCCAAGCCTCTGATCTCTCATCTCTGTACCTGTTGTAGGTACAGAAGGGACTAATGACAGAAGTGGTATATATGGACCCTATTCCATATTGATGCATAATTAATCAGGGTATTCTCATCCACCAAGCCTTAGAACATAACTATCTCGAAAACCACTGCTTTTATATAGGAGTTGTCTAAGAGAGAAAAACTTATTTCTCATTTCTCAAATCCTATAAATCTTTTGGCCCAGACTCTAAATCATAAGCAGGTTCATACTTTGGAAAGGGCTTGAGGCTTTTTAAGAGTTGCCTAGATTCCTCTGAGGTTTCAAGACTGTTTTGTAACATTACTGTCATGTATTTGTTCTGCCCTTGTAACTTTTCTCAAGAACTTTATTTTCATTTATTGTTCATCTATTTTCCCCCATCCCAACACTTTCAGGTCAACAGAAGAGAGAGTTGAGCTGGCTCATCTTTATCATCTTTAGTCATACAACTAACTACAAGCCAAGCTTAAACTTGTACACAGATCCCTTGACTCCTAGTCTATTTCTCGGGAATGGCGGACAGAGCAGGGCAGAAAAATGAGGGAAGGATGACAGAAGCTCATCAGAAAGCCAGTAATACATAAGATTAGTTTTGTCAGCAAAACCTAGTAAACTTTGACGTTAAAAGACAAATATTTTGATCTCTCATTCCCACTCTCAAAAAGGTTTCTAGTTCATATTGTTTTGCTAAAATTCCTTAACTGGAATCTGAAGCTGGAAAAACAACTATCACTGACATCCTAATATTCTTGCCATTCATGAAGGCCAGAGGCTAAAATAGGGCCTATAGGAGAAATCTTGACTAGAGTAAGATCTTTCTGTCCTAAATGTACTTTACAATGATAGACTCAGCAATGACTGGCCAGGTCAAGGCTGCTCAGCCTGAAACTAAGACAGAGCACTGAGAAAATAAGCTTTTTCGTTTCCTCCCTTTCTTTTCTCTGAATTCTATATGGAAGTATGTGTATTAGTTTTCTATGCTGTGTAATGAATGACAACAAACTTACAAGCTCTAGACAACACATTTGTTATCTCACAGTTCATGTGGTCTGACTGAAGTCGGGGCACAGGTTAACTAAGTCCTCTGCTTGGCTCTCACTAGACTACAATCACAGAATTGGCAGGGCTGCATTCCTTTCTAGAGCTCAGGGCCCTCTTGCAAGCTTGCATGGTTGTTGATAAAACTTAATTCTTTCTGGTTGGAGAACTGAGGCCCTCAACTCTTAGAGGCTGCCTGCCATAGGACCCTCTCCATTAGCAGCTTGCATCAAGAAGCTTGCTTCTTGAAGGCCAGCAGGAGAGTCTGGCACTCCTTTCTCCTAAGATGGAGTCTTTATAACATAGCCTAACATTTGCCATTTTATACTGGCCAGAAGCCTGTCACAGGTCATGTCCACGCTTAAAGGGAGAAAATTCCAATAAGATGTAGATATAGGAGGCAGAAATTACTTATCAGTCTAAGGTCTGTTTACAACAGTATGTGTGTGCTCTAAAACATATATATGTAAATACGTAGAAGTTGGTATGTGCCAATCTCTTATTTATGTTTATTAACCCATTTCGTTTTTACCTTATTTAAAAATTAAATGTTATTATTCTCATTTTACATATGAGAAAACTGAGGCAGAGAGCATTTAAGTTACTCATCCAAAGCACGCAGCTGGGCAGCAGCAGAATAGGTATGTGAATGCGATAATTTGGCCCCAGAGTCTATCTTCTTAACACATTCTGTGGCTCACTGTGATAATAGCTTACTCTTTTATATACCCCCTAAATGCTTTACATACTTTAATATTTAAGCCCCTGGTGATTAAAGAATTTTAGTATGCATTCACTTCATCTCCTTAATTTTCAGATAAACTGGAAGGGATCATAAAATTTGTACTTCAGTATGATTGTCTTCAATGTAAGCAGTTATAAATACTATTTATTGAGCAGTCATTTTGCTAAGCAATCCATAAATGTTATTTTATTTATCCTATAACCTCTCTGTGAGATAAAGATTACCATCCACAGTTTGTGATAAGGACACTGAAATCTGAAATTAGAGATGTTAAATAGCTCAGCCATGCTTTCTTGGGCTGTGACTTCAAACCCAGGTCCCTTTGATGCTAAAGCCACTGACTACAATGGTCTGAGATTTGTAAGGCACTGCCAAGCTAGTACCTATTCTCTCTTTCCTTTTGAGCAAAATATGCTGACTTGTTGGGTTTGTTTTGTTGTGGGAAGAAAATAACAATTTTATGACTTTTATCTTATCTGAAATTAAGGCCGTGTTGTCTGACTTTCACAATTGAACAACCCCTGGATGACCAAGAAAGCAAATACTGTAAGAACTTCATTTTATAGCTGTCTGCACCGCATCTCAGCCAGAACTCATCTGTACCTCCAGCCTGCCTTGCTCACCAGTTTTATGCTCAGATTTCTCAGCTGATCCTAGCCATTTTCACAGCGAACAATCTACAGAGTCAGGAAAGGCAGATCCAGATACCCTTTGTACACTTTTCACCACATTGATATCCTGTTAACAAGAGAAATGACTCTAGACTCTGGGACTATTATCTAGAGTCATATTCTTATTAATCTCTATTGTTTAGGAATATGTTGATGCAGAGCAACTTTATATAAATCTGTGTAAATTATGTTGACTATCTTATTTTATGCCTCACTTTTTCCTTCTAAGCACCTGTTATTGAGTGCATTCTGAATTTCATGTAGGTGGCCACTAATTTAATTAGAGGTGTGAGATAAGTAGCAAATTTGTGTGCTGGATGAAATTAGTAAAATGGATATCACATAATATTAACTCAAAAGCTATGATGATGTCTGCTTCCATTGACAATTTTATTTACATATTTGAATTATCTCTAGTTATATAATTTCCATTTCTTTTTATTACACAAATGTTTAATGGAAATTGGGGCTTTGTTTTATTCTTTTCCAGTAGATGATAAATTCTGTCTGCCATTGGAAAGAAGCACAATGTAGATTCAAATGAGCTGCCAAATTGACTTTTGTGTTTGCCCTGCTTTAGCCTTGACTGTTTCTATAGCTTGCACTTTTAGTGAGGATTTTCTGTGCATATTAGTTCATCATATCAGGATACAAGCAGTTTATCACTATGTAGCAACTTTACAGCCCAGGTGCAGGAAAGCTGTGGATTAGCAATTCTCAGTTAGGGGAAGTTCAGTGCAAACATCACCCAATGTGAGAGTATTAGGAGAGGTTCTATTTAATATACCTTTTGTTTTATGATTAAAAACCGAAAAATCTTCTTCCACAGCTTCATTCCACTATGTAGGCTTTGATTTCTATTAAAACGTTTAAGCCCTTCTTGGGGTGAAGGTAGGAAATATACTTTATGCTGCAGTTAGTCATTACATTTTAGTGTAAGTTAATTCCAGGCCCTTTCTTGAAATAAGGTTTTAGAAATTAAAGAATATGAAGATGATATATGTTTAGATTGTATGTGCTTTTATATCTATTTGTGTGTTCTATGAGGTGTGGTGGGAGGAGGCAAATTGAAGAAATAAGTATACGACAAAGAGGCAGGAACTCTGAAAACATGTTTTACTTTCTTAACAGTTAATTTGAAATTTATACTGATTTATTATACTATTGTCTCATTTCCTGATTACTTATTTGAAAAATTGATGCAACAAAGAATATGAAATTATACGGAAAGAACCTTATAGCTTTCAATTGCTACAGTTATTCAACAACCATTTTTGAGCAAGGTATAGTTTCAAAAAATACAGATATGTAAGACTTGGTTCCTCTTCATGTTCAGTACTTGACTTATATCTAAATAATAAGTTATAAATATATAAATTCCATAAGAGAGGAAGAAATTAAATGCTATATTAGTATAGAGAAGGGAAATATGTTTATGTGGTGGTGTCAGGGATATAAAGATAAGGAAAGTCATTTTGGAGATAGCATATTTAAAATTCATATTCTAAATTTTTAGATCTTATTTATAGGAGAGTAGCCAATCACTCCCTCAAAACAAATTTTCTTTTAATCTAGACACAATTCTAAAAAGTCATGATAGCTAATATCTTTCTATTCAAGGTGTGTTGCAAAGACCAGCAGCAAAGGCATCACCTGGTTGCTGATAGAAACACAAATTTTTAGTTCCCATTCCAGAGCTACCAAAGCAGAATCTGAATTTTAAGAAGATCCCCAGATTAATTGTAGTACACTAAAGTACGAGAAGCATCGGCCTAAAATGCTAGTACAAGGTAATTTGCCTGAGCTTTGGCACACTGGGAATGTCTTGCTTTGTTTGGCTAGGAGTTGATGGAAGCAGGAAGACTGACTACAACGACAGTAGTAAAAAAGGCAACCCACATACAGCATGCCAGTGAGAAAAGACAGAGAAAAATTTATGAACAGCTGGCTCAAAATGAAAAAACAAAAAGCACCTACACTACTTCGTGTAGGCAAGAAGCTCCATACACCACAGCAATCCCTAAGGGTCTCTGTGTATCGCAGCGACGTAGAATAATTATCATTCATAATAATGAAAGCCATGACATTATTTTTTTTAAAAAGGTTAAATTATGTCCATCATCCTTTGATTAAGAAGGCAGGGAAGTGAATACTGCATTTCAGATTGGTTTTTCAGCAAAAATTGGTTCATTTTACATTTTAATTGTTACATAAAGAAGTATGCTCCAATTCACATGTGTTTTGGGTAGCAAAAAAATACTGGGTATTTCCAAAAAAAGTTTTGAAAAAAGTTTGACGTTTCTAAAAAAATATAAAAAGCAACCAAGTACATATTATGGGAAATTATATCCTCCCTATCTTGAAGGGAATTCATTACACACATTTTACAATTAAAAATATGTACATGTGTATATACATGGGCATTAAGATTTGCAAGTGGTGAAGGTTATCCTTCTCATTGTACTACTTCAGGAGTCACGGGTCATATAGTAGTCTGTTAGGAGGCATCATTTATAGTTCTCTGAAATTGTGTTGAGACAAGGTTCAGGGATGAACACACCATCATCTTTTCAGAGTTTAGAGCAGGTAAAAGTTTTAATTCTTTCCTCCCTTAACTCATATTTTTGACCTCTATGGTTTTCACTTTGGGATAAAAGCATGCAGACTACAGTATCTTATTGTCCCTGAAATTTCTGCTTGATGGCTAAACATCATGGCATTTCTGTTGGGAAAGGTCATCCCACTCTGCTGACCTGGCTCTCTTTTAGCAAAAGCAATGCAGCAGCATTTTATAAAAATCCCTGAAGTGGTGGTAGTCTGGGCCAACCCAAGACTTGAAACAGGTAAAGGTTATTTTTATTGCCCTCACTTTAAGCCTTCCTTGCCTCCTTTCCCTATGTGAAGTCTCCCTTGCACCCCGGCGGCCCAGCTTCCTCAGATTCCCAGGCAGAGAGTGACCTCAGACTCATCTTAGAGAGATGAACTCTAGGAACAGGCTGTAAGATAGGCCATGTATGCTTTTGAGACTTAAAACTTATATACCCTTGGGGAAAATCATAATTTAGGAAAATTCTAAATTTCTAGTATTTTGAGGAAGTACACAACTTTACATGGCAAGGAGACAATAAGCTTCTCAAAGCCAAAGGCTATGTTAGGATAAAAATGAATAAAGGACCTTACCTTGCACTAGTAGATACTCAGAAAATACTTGAGAAGTTGAGGGATTAATGTCCTGCTAGAGATATTTCAAAAACCAAGAAACTTGTAGATGACATACTTTTCTTTAAAAGGTCTTTTTCTCCATTCGTGAATTCATCTCCAGTAGATTGCCTTATGCCTTGCCTATAGGTAATCACAGGTAGTTAAAATGATAATATTTTAGCTAATAATACTTAATATAAAATCACTTCTTCCAGCAACCTATGTCAAAATACCCTGATTAAATAATTCCCTTCTCATGAATACATACTATTTAAATTTTCCCAATGGTCAATAGTCACACTTCAATGATTCTCTTTTGTGAGCTATAATAAATTTTTGTAATTGCTTCCAAGAGATATGCGCTCTTATCTTCAAGCAGGAGGCATGAATTTCCATCTCCAACTGTCCACCCACCGTGTTGACCCATTGGTATTTCAAACGTACTGTGTTCGAAAAAGATTTCAGCATCTTGCTTTTAAATATTTTTCTCTTTGTGGGTTTTCTGTATTCTGTTAGTAGTACTTTCACCTTCTTTATAACTCAAACGAAGCAGACAGGCAAATATATTTTATAAAAATAAAAAATACAACATAAATGTTGTAATGAAATAATAAGTAAAAGTTGAGGTACACCAAGAGAGAATGGATAAATAATTATTTGGACTAAGATGTAGTATATTCAAAACATTCCACTCTATATCTGTGTCCTGTTGCTGTAACAATTTACCAAAAATATAGTGGCTTAAAACAGCACAAATAAATTTGCTTACAGTTCTAGGGGTTGGAAGTCTAGCATGGATGGGCAGGGCAGCTGCATTCCTTCTGGAGGCTTTAGGGGAGAATATGTTACCTTGTCTTTTTCATTTTCTAGAAGCCACCTGCATTCCTCAGTTTATGGCCCCTTCCTTGCATCACTCTGATCCCTGCTTCCATTAGTATAGCTCTCTCTCTGACTCTGATTCTTTTGCCTTATTCTTTCACTTGAAAGGACCCTTGTCATTACACTGGGCCCACCAGACAATCCAGGATAATATCTCCAACTCAAGAGTCTTAATTATACCTACAAAGACTTTGCCATGTCAGTTAACTTATTTAAAAATTCCAGAGATTAGAAAGTAGATGGATTTAGCCTACCATACTATGTAAATCCCCAATCTTCCTTTCCATTCCTGTCCTCCTCTTGATTCAGGTAAACTGAATGATTTGTGGGTACACCATGCTATCTTTTTAATGTCCTTGCTTATCCCATCCCTTTCAAAGAAAATGTTCTTCTACCTTCTCTACATGTCCTGAGATTTTTCATCCTTCCAGGCAAAGACAGTTATTTCTACTTCTGCAATTCCTCCCTGTAAGAATTAATTTTTTACCTCTGTGAACTTTCATAATACCTTATTTATACTTCTCATGACTCTCACACACAAATAATTTTAATACAAGGTAGGAGAAAGTATGTGTTCTCCCCTTCTACACCATAAGGTCCTCAAAGGCATTTTCTGTGTCTCATTTATCATTGTACATCATACTCACCCCATCCCACTCCTAGCTTCCTGTGCAGATCACTGCTCACTGTGGATGCTCAGTAAATATTCATTGAAAGGATTAATGAATTTCTGGAAATCACCCTGTCATTTTGACAGAGTCATGAGACCCAAGGGGCATACACTTAGGCTCTCTAAATCCTTTTTTCTTTTTTTTTTTTTTTTTTTTTTACTATCCAGCATGGTGCTTTCATACTTGAAGTACAGGCTATTTTCTTTCTTTTCCTATCTTTTTTTTTTTTTTTTTTTTTTGAGACGGAGTCTCGCTCTGTCGCTCAGGCTGGATTGCAGTGATGGGATCTCCGCTCACTGCAAGCTCCGCCTCCCAGGTTTACGCCATTCTCCTGCCTCAGCCTCCCGAGTAGCTGGGACTACAGACACCCGCCACCACGCCCGGCTCATTTTTTGTATTTTTAGTAGAGGCGGGGTTTCACCATGTTAGCCAGGATGGTGTCGATCTCCTGACCTCGTGATCCGCCCGCCTCGGCCTCCCAAAGTGCTGGGATTAGAGGCGTGAGCCACCGCGCCCGGCCTCTTTTCCTATCTTTAAGGTCTACTGATGGTTGAAAATGATATGAACAGTAGTAGGCTTTACCACTTTTTAAAATATGACTACATTTTCAAGATTTTCTCTCAGAAGGCAAACTTAGGGCTCAGAAAAGAGGAAACAAAATTTCAACACCCCTATAATTACACATGACAATGTTATTAAAATGTAGAAATTCAGTTTTTAAAAAGTAAAAGAAGGTTTTTTATAAAACATTCATTTCAATTAGTTATTCCTGTATATCTAATTGGAAGAAATTACAAGTTACCTTTCTCTCATTTTTCTCCTCTACTGAGAATTTAAAATTGAATTTCATGTCTTGACTCTACAGATTTGACAGATGTTGCCACCCTCTTCAATCACTGTGAGAAATGTGTATCCTTAGCTATATGAAATCGAAAGGTGCAAAGAAGGTTGGAGAGAATGATTATTTTCTCTCCCTTCCTCAGGTGTTTTCTTGTTATCAAGGAGTGTTTCAGTCATTCCTTTGAGTTGGGTGAAATTATGAGAACTACACCTAAATTGTCAATATTTCATTCTCTCGCAGCATTGGATGTGAGGCACTGGTGTGACAGAATCCTGTTTCTCACACTTCAGTGATTTTTCCATGATGTTATGAGCAAAGTGGAAGAAAACTACCAACCTGTTTATTAACTTCTAGAAATTCACTCTCACCTTTTGCCTTACAAAAAGCAGAATACTTTCTTGTTTGACTGTATCATCAAATAATTATTTTAAATGAGAATGAATGAGCATGACTGGCCAAAGGAGTCTATTTAATGGCTGTAAGTTTGCCTCTGGGGTTTAGGATGACCATGTTCTGTCTTTGTTTCCTTGAAGTAGTTCCCTCAGCTGTGATGTTTTTACATGGCTTGAGGTCCTTATAGGTAGGTTGTGACCATGTGATCTCTGAGATACTTGTATTTTTCCCAACAACTCTTACCGGTGTAGTTTAAATATACTCTAACCTTCAGGAATCCATGGGTGTAGAATGCAATAAATTATTTTGGATATTCTGGCATTGTATCTGAGTGTCGTATTATCTGTGAATTAAAACTACTCCTTTAATGCCTTACAAGGACTTTCCCAAACTAAACCTCTAAAACAGACTGGATTCGTCTATTAGTCATATTGCTTCAAACATACCAATAGAGAAAGAAAGAGGCCTCTTGCTTATATTCTACACCTATTTCTGCCTGCACATATTAATATTTTGACCTGTTGGTTTCCACAATAAGAAAGCACACCAGAGAAGCCCAGGTTTGTCTGCAGAGTCATCAACACATTGAAGAGCAAGTTTGGGTTCCAATTATGAGTCTTCATAGGCATTAAGGAGGAGCACCCCCGTACTATGCTTCATTACTGCTTCCTGAGAGACTCTGCTTGTGAAGGGAAACAGAGGATCCCCGGTGTGATTCTGAAGCAGTGGTTTATTGACTATACTTAGTTAGGCAGTTTCTGTATTGTTCCTGAGGACAGTTCTCTTGGGGTACAGGGCAGGAAATTTGAGAATGCCATCTGATGGGCATGTGATTTTGAAAGGTTGACAGAAGGCAGAAAACATCACCACAGCCAGTTCTTCTAAGAGTTCTTCAAGAGATACAAATGTACCATTCAAATAAGTTAATGAGGTAAAGGTGGACACCCTATTGAGGGTATTTTGGGACAGAATTCAGAACCTTTGGATTTTTTATCTGCTATGATGAGCAATTGCCTTACGTTTTTCTATTTTTTCCATGATTTCTAAATGTCTTTTAATTTCTCAAAAGACAATTTTTAGGGCAGTTTTAGGCTCACAGCAAAATTAAGAGGAAGGTAGAGGTTTTCTTTATGCTCCCTGCCCCCATACATGGATAGCTTCCCTCATTATCAACACCCTCCACTAGAGTAGTGCATTTGTTACAATTGGTGAGCCTGCATTGACACATCATAATCAACCAAAGGCCAGAGGTTACATGAATGTCGTACATTCTGTGGATTTGGACAAATATATCATGGCATGGATCTATTATTATAGTGTCATACAGAGTATTTTCACAGACCTAAAAATCCTCTATGTTCTGCCTATTCATCCTATCCATAAAACCCCTAGCAACCAGTGAACTTTGTACTGTCTCTGTAGTTTTGCTTCTTCTAGAATGTCATATGGTTGGAATTATACCATATTATTGCCTTTTTATATTGGCTTCTTTCACTTAGTAATATGCATTTAAGATTCCTTCATGTCTTTTTATGGTTCAGTGGCTCATTTTTTAAAATAATGATTAATATTCCATTATCTGGGTGTACCACCATTTATTTACCCGTTTACTTACCGAAGAATACCTTGGTTGGTTCCAAGTTTTGGCAATTATAAATAAAGCCGCTATAAGCATCTCTTTGCAGGTTTTTGTGTGAACGTAAGTTTTCAACTTTTGGGAGTAAATACCAAGCAGAGTGATTGCTGGATTGTATGGTAAAAGTATGTTTAGCTTTGTTAGAAACTGCCAAACTCTCTTCCAAAATGGCTGTGAAATTGTGCGTTTCTACTAGCAATGAATGAGCATTCCTGTTGCTTGACATCCTTGCCAGCATTTGGTGTTGTCAGTGTTCCAGATTTTGGTCATTCTAATAGGCGTGTAATGATATCTTACTGTTGTTTTAATTTTCATTTCCCTGATGGTGTATAATGTGGAGCATCTTTCATGTGCTCAATTGCCATCTATATCTCTTTTTGGTCAGGTGTCTGTTAAGATTTTGGCCCTTTTTTTGTTTTATCATTGTTGAGTTTTACGAGTTCTTTGTATATTTTGGATCACAGTCTTTTATCAGATAGGTCTTTTGCAAGTATTTTTTGCTAGTCTGTGGCTTGTCTTCTCATTTTCTTAACAGAGTTTTTCAGATAACAGAAGTATTGTTGTTGTTTTGTTTGTTTTTGTTTTTTGAGACAGAGTCTCACTCTGTTGCTAGGCAGGAAGGGCTCACTGCAACCTCCGCCTCCCAAGTTCAAGCAATTTCCCTGCCTCAGCCTCCCGACTAGCTGGGACTATAGGCATACACCACCATGCCTGGCTAATTGGTTTTTTGTTTGTTTGTTTGTTTTTGGGGTGTTTTTTTTTTGTTTGTATTTTAGTAGAGACGGAGTTTCACCATGTTGTCCAGGATGGTCTCAATTTCCTGACCTCATGATTCACCCACCTTGGCCTCCCAAAGTGCTGGGATTACAGGCATGAGCCACTGCACCCGGTCCAAAAGTTTTTTCTTTATTTTAATGATGTAGAGCTCATTAATTATTTCTCTCATGGATCATCCTTTGGTTTTGTATCTAAAAAGTCAGTGCCATACCCAAGGTCATCTAGGTTTTTCTCCTGTGTCGTCTTCTAAGAGTTTTATGGTTTTTCATTTTACACTTAAGGGTTTGATCCATTTTGAGTTAATGTTTGTCAATTGTCTGTCTCTAAATTATTTTTCATATGGATGTCTAGTTGTTCTAGCACCGTTTGTTGAAAAGACTATCTTTGCTTTATTATGTAACCTTTGCTCTATATCAAAGATCAGTTGATTATATTTATCTAGGTCTGTTTCTGGGTTCTTCTCTTCCATTAATCTATTTGCCTATTCCTTCATTAATACCACACTGTCTTGAATGTTATAACTTTATAGTAAGGCTTGACGTTAGATGATGTCAGTCCTTCAACTTTGTTCTTCTCCTTCAATATTTTGTTAGCCATTCCAGTTCTTTTGCCTCTCCATATAAACTTTAGAATCAGTTTGTCAACATCCACAAAATAACTTGCCAGGATTTTGATTGGGATTGCATTGAAGCTATAAATCAAGTTGGGAAGAACTGACATTTTGACAATAATAATGAACATGGAATATCCATTTATTTAGTTCTATCCATTATTTACTTACTAGATTTCATTCCTCAAGGTTTTGTAGTTCTCCTTATATAGAAGAAAACTACTTATTTTTTAGATATTTTGTTTGATTTACATCTATGTGTTTCATTTTGGGGGGGTGCTAATGTAAATGTTATTATGTTTTTTTTATTTTGAATATTACTTGTTCATTGTTGGTATATATGAAAGAGATTAACTTTTATATATTAAACTTGTATCTTGTGACCTTGCAATAATCATTTACTAGTTCCAGGAGGTTTTTATGATTCTTTCAGATGTTCTGCATACACAATTGTGTCACCTGCAAGCAAAGATAGTTTTATTTCTTCCTTCTGAATCTGTATTCCTACTATTTTTTTCTTGTCTTATTGCAGTAGCTAGTAATTCCCATATGATGTTGAAACAGTTGGTGAAAGGGAGATATCCTTGTCTTGTTTCTAGTCTTAGTGGAGAAGTGTCAAGTTTCTCACTATTACATATGATGTTAGTAATAAGTTTTTAAGAATGTTCTTTATCAATTTGAGGAAGTTTTCTATTTATTTTATTTTTTTCCAAATTTATTTATTTTAAGCATGTTTAGTAAATTATTTACTCTATATGTAGGAAACATTTTCTTAGGAGTTATTTGTGTCAATTCTACCTTGATTGTGTTGTTCTGTGTAGTCCTGGGGTATTTTGTACCTTGCTACCACCACTGAGTTAACTGCAAATCAACAGAAGAAATTAGGAACCAAACCCCAACTGGAGATTAATAAATGCAGATACTTTTGAAGCTTGCTAATAGTGCCAACATTAGCTACAAAAGGTATTCTTTCATTCTATATCTAGTGCCCTCTGTGAATCAGGTATTAGGAATAACATGATGAATAAGATTATCACTGACATTAAGAACCAAGTAACTATTAAGATCATCCTTCACTCATTTCTTCCTGCTTTTCACTTCCCAAATTACTTACTGATATGTTATCAGTAAGTCTTATGAACACTGACTTCAGAACAGTCAGCTCTGCCTTCTCCACCACCAATACCTGTGGCAAGCCACTATTATCTCTTGCCTAAACTGCAAAACCTCCTGACTCACATCTCTGCTTCTCCATGGAACATACAGGATGATCTTTTAAATATATAAATAAAATTATGTCATTATTCTGCTCTTACAACCTTCAATGATTTCCTATCATATATAGAATAAAGTCACAATACCCTACCTACCCTACACAACTTCCATCTGGCCACCTGGCTCTCCCTCCTTCCTTTTGTCTTTCCTCGCTGTGCTCTTAGATCATTCTTAGATCACACTGTCTTTCTTTTGATGCTCAGACTCTTTCTTATCTTAGGGCCTTGGCAGTAGTTATTCACTGGGACAGAAATGTTTTTCCCCCTGTAGTCATATGTTGGCTCCTTCTGATTGTTCAAATCTAACAGCCTTTCCCTGAACACCCAATATAAAGGGCCATCCCTTTTACTATGTTCTATCACTCTTTGATAGTTTTTTTTTTTTTAAATTTATTGCTTGGCTGGTTGCATGATTGAAAGGGAAAAGTAGCCCCTGTTGTCTGGGAACTGATCTAATCCGTAAGTGAGGCCTCAGCATTGTTAGAAGCTGGCCTGGAGCCCACAGGTAGATGATATTGTTCACCCATTAGAGAGAAATAACTTCATAGAGTACCAACATGAAACACAGTCACACTAAGACCATAATAAAGTGAGTGAAAATAATGCTATGTCATTTTTTCATTAAAAAACAGATAAAAATTGGTGTCACTATATAACCCACAAAATGTCAAACCATCTTATTGGTTAAGTTGAATACTACTTTCCTACCAATCATAACTTTATTCTCACTCTAGTCTGCTCTTGCTATAGATAAGATTTATTGAGCTATCCAATCCTAGAATTGCTTCTACTTTCTGGCAGCATCCAGTACAGAACAAAGTCCTGTTTTCTTAAACCCTCCCCAGAATCACCGAATAAGCCTGAATTCTTTTTAATATGCCTTTACTAATGCCCTTACTTAGTATCTTACTAAGATACTTCATGGCTCCGTGTGGTGTGTGTTCTTCCTTGCTACAACAATTAATAAACTCACTTGTTCAAGTAAAGGTATGCTCCTCATGGTCTTTCCCTGGAGTGCATTGACCGGTTTGTTGGTTGGCTGTTGGTTTTCTGACTTTCTTCAAATAGAAGATGAATTCACTTAGAGCCTTGTTATCACATTTGCTACTACTGCATCTGCAGAGTCCTAAAGAGACCTGCCACTTAGTAGACCCAATACATGTTTGTTGAATGACTTCTTTGATATTTTTGACATGGAAATTTAATAAGCTATAAAACAGTGATTTTCAAGTAAAGATCCTTAGCTTAAAGACCCCAAGGTTTCACTTGGTGGATTACAACCTGAACCAGAAATGTAAGTCCTTTATTTGCTTTTTATAGGCAAGTGGCACACAAGCCATTGGACTTGGATTTTCATCATGCAATTAAGGGCTACCTATCAGCTTATTAAGAATTAAACAATCTTAGCATTCATAAGCTTAAAATAGCATACAATTACAGTTACTCAGAACTCAAATGGAATAATCTAGAGTCTGGCTGCCACATTGTGCTGGGCAATGCTTCAGATTCCCACTGTACATGCATATGAACAGGTGGTAGAAATTCCTGCCTGATTTCTGTTGGATATAGTTTTCAACTGATGAGAGTTTTAATTTTTAAAATAACTTGTTATAAGTTTAGTTATAGCATTTGCAATTTACTTAATTTAGATTTCTTAACTCTGCTATGTAATGGTACATAATTGCATCAATGCACATTTGTTAATAATTAAATTTCAGACATATATCCTTTACAGTTCAAATATTAATCATCTCTTTTCCCTCCCATTATCTTGCTTCCCAAATTTATTTGTACGGTGATAATTCAATTCATTCTCAGTGATCAGAGGTGAATAGGCAGGCTTCAGGGCTTTTTTTTTTTTTTTTTTTTAATAGTTAACTGTGTCAAGACCAAAATTAGTTTAAGGAGGGTAAAATGTCTAAGAGAACTCTGTTACTAAGTCACTAAGTCTTCTGGCCATGTACTTTGTGATTCAGCCATGAGTTTAGGTAATGTAAAACTCTTCTGAAAGCAAAAGACAACTAGTATATCTGCTGTCCTATGACTCATGAAAAAGGAAGAGTCAACTCAGATCTGTGACCCCTCTTTTTGTTTCCCAGTCTAGCAGCTATTTTGTTTACCCAGATTTTAGCAGGAAAGAGTCTTCTTTTCAGTATGTACAGTTTTTTTTTTTTCTGATAGAATAGTCAGAATAATTATCTGATTACCAAGGTAATGGCAGACACTAAGTCTTTCTCTGTGGGTTTCCTAGATCAGGAGATAATGGAACCATTTTCAAAGAGTCAAAGAAATTATTTATTATGTAAGAAAACCTTTAATTTAGGAGGACTGTTTCACTCTTTAATATATATTTCCCAACCATCACATTTTGCAGCAATTTAGCAGGGATGAATGTATAAATGTTTCATTTCCAAGTTACTAAGTGGGTGCCTTTCAAAGGATCTGATTTGGCAGTAGAACACATAAAAGTAATATTTGTTACTTTTTTTGTTCCACTCATAGACATAGGAAACTATAGCTTCAAATCAATTCAAACTGATGATTTTCATATTTTTGCTTTCAATTGTTTTGTAATTGTGAAATTACAACTAAATATATAAATTGATTAGACCTTAAAATATTGCCTGATATGTTAGGATAAATTTTATAGGAAAAAAATGTATAATAATAACTTCTCTAGAATTCTAGTTTCTTTTCCAAAAGTCACAGCTGAGTCAAAAAAAAAAAAACGTTGTTTCATCTAGAATAAATTTATGTATGATTAGCTCATCCTTCTATTTAGGTAGAATGTTGACATAATGGGCTCAAAATTTGACAAACTATAAAAATACTACTATATCACATATTTTAAAGGTCATTAAAGGGACCATAAGACACTATAGGCTTCAATCTATCAATGGGTCATTGAATCAATATTACATGTTGAGGTACACTGTGGTTCCAGGCAGGCTTACCACATGCTGTAAAGTGATACCTAAGGTTTGTAATGATGATCTCCATCAGGAAAATTTCAAATAGGGAAACAACAATAGGACATATATGTAAATTAGACACAAAAAATAATAAATAATATATGCTCTAAATATTATAAAAACAGAGCAGTGTTTCTCAAAATATGATCTAGAAGTCTTGGGAGGCCAAGGCTTAGGACAGGGGAAAGGAGTGTTGTAAGACCTTTTCAGTGAGGTCAAAATTATTTTCAAAATAATACTAAAATTTTACTGCATGTTCTCACTCATATGTGGGAGCTAAGAGAAATTTAGCTCATTGAAATAGAGAGCAGAATTGTAGGCTGGGAAAGGTAAAGGGGGAAGTAAGAATAGGGAGAAGTTGGCTAACAGATACAAAATTACAGTTAGATAAGGAGGAATAAGTCCTAGTGTTCTATAGTACTGCAGGGTAAATATGGTTAATAATAATTTAATGTATATTTTCTTTTTTTTTTCTCACTCTGTCAGCCAAGCTGGAACGCAGTGGCTCACTGCAGCCTCAACCTGCCCAGCTTAGGTGGTCCTCCCACTTCAGCCTCCCAAGTAACTGGAACTGCAGGTGTGCACCACCCCACCTGGCTAATTTTTTGTATTTTTTGTAGAGATGGGGTTTTGCCATGTTGCCCAGGCTGGTCTCAAACTCCTGGGCTCAAGCAATCCACCTGCCTTGGCCTCCCAAAGTGCTGAAATTATAGGTGTGAGTGACCATGCCCAACCTAATGTATATTTTCAAAAAGCTAGAAGAGAGGACTTTGAGTGTTCCCAAAACAAAGACATGATAAATGTGTGAGATTATGGATATGCTAATTACACTTATTTGATTATTACATGTTGTATGCATGTATCAAAATATCACTCTGTATCTCATAAATATGTAGTTATTATATGTCAACAAAAAAAGAAAAAACTTTACCCTTTTCATTCTCATTGTTTCATAAGGATACAGTGGAATTTTTTAAAGACTACATGACATGAAATATTGCAATAGATTGCAGAAGCAAATATGAGCCCCAGTCTTCTAATTTAAAAGATATTGAAAAGATCTGCAAAAATGTAAAACAGTATTATTTTCTTTAAAATGTATGTTTTTGAAAATGTAGTTCCTTTTTAAATTTATGTTAATGGGTTTATTGTTATTTTTAAATCAGTTAAATATTTAACTTTTATCACCTTTAATTTCTAATAGAGTAAATATCCACATATGTAATCTACATAAACAATATGTATGTCTTTGGAGTTTTCAATTATTTTTAACAGTGACAATAAGATCTAAGACCAAAATTGAGAATCGCTGCTTTAGAGAAATGCTAGATTATTTATGTGATTATTTATGTAACATATGTGCCCTGTGGCATCTGAGTTTCTGGCCAATTTATCACTTCATTTAGATCGAAGTCACATATTATTAAGTTAACATTCTTTTAGGTTGTCTACAATTTGTGATACTGGATTTTTTAATTCATGATAGTGGTCTTCAGAGTATAAAGCATTTTCTTCACAGAAAGGATGGACTTTTAATTATTCCACAAATGAAGTACATTTCCTTGGGTCATACCATGAAGTGATTCTGTACCATAAATTGTTACATATTGGTATGGCCCCATCGAATGTGAAATGTGTTGTCAGTATTACTAATAATGGTTTAACTTCCAAAGTGAGTGAATATTTTTTTTTTGTTGTAAATATCAAGCAATGTAGATTCAAGATTTTGTCTGTGTTATCATTCTCACTCATTTGCATGACAGTATGCCTTCTTAAGTGAAAAGGAGCAGATGAGGTTGTAGCCAGCTTGCTGGGAAGGTGACTGGTGATGTGTCCTGCAGGTAAACTCCATTTGTCTTGCTTGTCACAGTGGAAGTAGAGAATCTCAAAGCAATTAATGTAGCATTTAAAGAAGTGACTAAACTCAGTGCACACTAATGACTTCATTGTTTTTGCTTGATCTGACTAGAGTTTATGCACAAATGACGACTGAAATAAAGCCTAACATTTTCTAAAGAGTACAAGCAAAATCTAGTGCATTGCAAAATAAAACATAGTAGCGTCTTTTCCAGGCTTCACATGAATCTATACAGCTTGAAAAGGAGGAAAATTCTAAGAATAGTATTTACCAAGCCAAAGTCTTTGGTCTTCATTAAATATAGAACACTAATTTCTTCCACGGTGAATGAGTTATGTCAAAAATAAAATTTATTGAATCGTAGAATCAAAATAGTCTATGCAAATCCTAGATGTAACTTCTTCATCTTAATAGTTAATAAGGATTTCTGCTATTTATTGACCATTGAATCTATGCTAGTTTCTCTGCTAGGTGTTATATTTTATCTTATTGATACCTTATGGAAATTTTCAAAAGGTATATATTGCTGTTACTCTCATTTTATGGGTGAAACAGCTGTGACTTAGAGAAGTTGAACTAACTAGCTCAATCTAAGTGCCAAAGCTGTAAAACCAGATCTGTCTGATTTCACTGCCCCATTCTCTCCACTAAGTTATTCTCTCCCTATAGTCACATATTACATGCATTGGATTGGCAACATTGATCACTTTTATTTCTCAGGAATGGATGCCCAAATAGGCAGATTAAATGGTTTGTACCAAGTCACCAAATAAGAAACAAAATCTGTGTGTCCTTAGGTGGACATGTGGAACTCAATCCAGGGTATGGGACTAGACATCATTCTTCTCTGAACTTTCAGAATGCTTACTACTATGCAATATAACTTCTGTGGCATTTATAATATACTATCGTGTGTGTGTGTGTGTGTGTGTGTGTGTGTTTGTGTGTTCTCAAAGGACTTTGTCTTGTATTTATCTTTCCCACAATTCTTTGTACCTAGTTAGGCTGTAAGATGTATTAATGACTGAATGACTAAGTAAAGAAATGGCCCAATACAGTGCTTTCCTGAGTGCAAGCTCTAGGAACTACCAAGAGCCATAAAAGAGGAGAGAAAGGAGCCCCCCTTCACTGGCCACTCACTTCAATATGAGTCCTCTGATATTGTTTTTTATATTGAATTATTCATAAGCATTATTTTGGAAAAAAAGTTTTTATTGCTAGAGAAGTTTCTGTTTGTTTTTAAAACACCTGTTTAGTTTATACGACGTCAGATCTCATTTTCTCAGTTTGAAATTAGCAAAATTCAGTTGGGTGTAGTGATTTTACTAGAATGAAGGCTAAAATGTGGCTTAAAATATGTGAATTCTGGTTCTGATTTTTCCACTTGCTAGCCACATTTCTGTGTGTTAGATTACTTATCTTTCAAATTACATTTATGGTATACTTGCTTTGTCTGTATTTGCTTTTTCTGATTTTTTTTTCTTAATTTTTTGAAACCAGGTCTCACTCTATTGACCGCACTGGAGTGCAGTGCCATGATCACAGCTCACTGCAGCCTCAGCCTCTTAGGCTCAAGTGATCTTCCCACTTCAGCTTCCTGAGTAGCTGAGACTACAGGTGCTGTATTACCACACCCAGCTAATTTTTTTTTTAATTTTAGTAGAAATGAGATCTCACTCTATTGCCCAGGCTGATCTCAAACTCTTGGCCTCAAGTAATCCTCCTGCCTCAGCCTCCCAAAGTACAGGAAGGAGCCACAGTGTCCAGTCTTTGTATTTCTTACCAGTTTTGGTAGAGAGAAAATGAGAGAATATATGTAATGCAACAAAATGCACAGTGATATATGTTAGAATAATTATTGATTATATTTTGTTAAATAATTTATCAGCAGTTATTTTAAAACATTTATTCCATCTACAGTGGGGCCATGTACATGCTGTGTTCTCCACAGGTGGTTTCTAATCTTATTTACTAGTCCTAACACTTAATTAACAAAAGTTGTTTCTGTATGAACTAGAAAAAGACATTTTCTGATTCCAGAATACCTAAAAGTCATTATCTAAAGGACTCAAAGATCTGACTCACAGCATATCATAGAATTGTGCTATCTAAGCCTGAAAGTCATCAGCAAAGGTATTAAAAATGTAGACCTACAAAATATATAAATATTAAAAGTATAAAAATATAATTTAAAAGACCCGTAAAAATATAAATGTTCCTAGTACTAAATGACCTATAAAAGACTTAAGGAAAGAAAGCATTTTTACCCAACATACAGCCACAGATTTTGACTTGAGTATCACATTGACATTTACTCATTTATTCCTCATTTGCTTAACAAACATTTATTGAATGTCTAATATAACCAGCCCCTGTGCTAGAAGCTGATGTTCCAAAGATGAAGTGGACAGCGGCTCATCCCTTGAGTTGCTAATAATCTAGGAAAAAGAAAAGAAATATACAAACTATAACAAACACAGAGCTATTTGAATAAGTGTCCCAAATAGTATTATTACAAAGTACTATGGAAACACAATGGAAATAATGACTAACTCTTCCTAGAGGATTTGGAAAGGCTGCAAGAAAGAATAGCATTTGAGCTTAGTACAAAACAATGTGTAGGAGTTTACCAAGATTTTTTATTTAAATGGGAAAAGGGCGTCCCCAGATAGAAAAGACAGCATGTTCATGCCAGTAAAGATGTTATAGAACATAGCATGCTTGAGACAATGTGAAAATTAGAACAAGTCTTTTGAAAAGTAGTTTAACAGATTGTTTCAAGATCTATAAAAACACTATGTCTTTAGTCTAGTAATCTCATTTATGGTCACTTATGTTATGAAAAAAATACAAAGGAAGAAAATTGTTATTTACAAAGCAGAAATGCAGAATAGAAATGCGTCCATTATCTAAAAAACACAGAATAGGTATGTACATTACAATACATCCATTTTATTTATTCTTTTGCTACTAGAATAATTATGAATATTCTAAATCAAGATGGAAAATGTATGTGCCATTATATAACTTATAAAACCAAAGAAAATTATATCTTTATTACTATAACTATTCAAACTATACAAATAAGAAATGAAGAATTTGAAATAAAAATCAAAACAACAGCATCATCAACAAAAATCATGAAGTTTTGTCAAGGTGGTGGGATTTTGTGTGTTTTTTTTAAGTAGATTTACTTTTTTGTGGTCATGTAATTTACTAATTCAACTAAGAGTTATTGGTGATTTCATATGTGCTGGAAGCATTGCTAAGCCCTCCAGCTGAAAAGATAAAGAAGTTTATCATTTTAATAATAAATTCTAACAGTTTTAAAGAAAAACATTTTATACCTCAATGCCTTTGCCAAAATAATTAACTCTACCATCATTCAAGGCCCAAATTGAATCGAACCTGTTTCATGAAATCTATTGATAATCTATTCATCTCATCATTCCTAATCTTTTTCTAGATTTATCAATCTTCTATCTCTCCAAATGAAAGACATTGTGTTTAATAATTGAATTGGATGACCCGGCATGTCCAAGGCTGGTGTGACTATCTGCAGGAAATGGTTGGAGAAGAATCTGGTTCTTGACTTTATGTACATTGGAGAGTGTGTGTCTCAAATAAAGTCTAAAACAACCTACGTCAGGATCACCTGGAGTACATGTTATACATATAGATTTTCACTCTCATCCCTGGAAATTATAATTCCTTAGATCAGGGTGGGTCCAGACACTTTGCATTTTTAATAAGCACCCTAGATCTTAAGCAACTTAACTTTGGAAAACCATTGCTATAAAATATTGAGTCTTCATGAAATAAGTGCATCTGAGGCTGGAATTTTCCCTTGGAATGCTGTATTTATGTAAGTGTCCATTTGAAAATATCTTCTGTTCACTGATTTTTTTATATATTCAGTCCAAGCTGAGCTTTGTTTCTAACTCAGATTTCACAGTTTTGTTAATAGGCAACATTCACTCCATGTGGGTTCTGTATGTACATATGCATAGGGTTATGAAGTCATCTGTGGCCTTCTTCATAGGTGTCTTATTTAAGTCATTCTTGTTGCATAAAATATTATTGCTTGGGTCATTATCAAGAGCGGGAAAAGTGGGGGGGAAGAGGATTTACACTTGATAATGCCTGACAAGCTGTATTCACTGACAAGCCAAAAGTTTCTCGTATAGTCCATTGTTGTGCCTCAACTACATGTAAGGTTTTATGTTCATTTTTCCTTTAGTTCTTTTCCCTCTTCCCTCCCTCCCCTTCATTCTTCCTTTTTTCCAATTTTCCTTAATTTCTTCTGATGGACTTGTCCATGGACTATGGTTTTTTGATGAGTGCTTTCATCAATCAGTTACCAAAAATATTTAGTCACTGACTACTGTTTGGTAAACTGCATTGTCCTGAAAGATTCAGTTCCTTATTAACCTTATCCTTTGGGTCTTGAGGTTGGATCAAAGTGAATAGTATGTCATCCTTCTGTCAAAGTAAGAGAAATACATAGCATGCCAAAAAGCTCAGAAAATTTAAAAACTGGTCAGAGACTGGCAGTAGGAAATGTAGAGATTAGCCTAAAATGAGCATGTTTTGGCACCACTAATCTTTGACCTTAAGCTTTCCAACCTAGAAGTCAGCTAGGAGAAAAACTAGAATTGCAAGATTTCTGTACAGTGTACTATTTCATTTTCATGAGTCATCATTTCACATGAAATGGCTGAGGACTTTTCTCTGGGAAGATTTATTGTCAAGCAATTGGGGAGGTTTTCATCTGACTTCAGTAGGTTCTCATCTTATAAAGGAAACTTTACCTCTCTCTAGAGGTCTAGAAACCCATCATATGAAAACCCCTCTGAAAATAAATTATTTTCTAGCATATACAAAATGACATTGCCTGTATATCTGCACATTCATGGTTTCTAATTGCAGCAGTGGAGGTAGGAACCAATTCAGCCAAGTGCCCTATTTGTAGGTTCAAAAGGGTCATCCTATTCTAAATGCTATGATTTGTACATTTCTTCTATGCACATTAATCTTCCTTGCTCAAAAATATTTTCAACTAAAATACTTCATACTTTATCTAACTCAATATGGGAAACTATCCCTTAATGGATGGCTCTAAGTCATCTGCATTTTTCCTCTCTGCTGTGAAGCTATTCTCTGCTCCAGTTTCTCTCTTGGTAAAAAACTACTCCTACCAACTTTCCTTTCTATTTTTTTAAAGCTTCCCATTTCTATTCATTGAAATCTTGTTGATATGGCTTTTCCCAAAGAAGAATTCCGAAGCTGAAACTCCAATATGGTCCCAAGGTTCTTAAAGTATGGAAGATGGAATGTTTGTTAACAATGCAGACTCTTGGAATCCATCTGAGTTAGAGTAGGAATCAGTCTCCATGGAAGGGCCCAGAAATCTGGATGTTTAACGTGTGCCTTGTTGGTTCTTATGCATAATAAACTTTAACAACAACTATTCTGGAACGCTAGTTCTGATTTGGAGAGAACATTCAAAATGTAGTCGTAGACTTTCAGTTGCTAGCTTCATGGATATATATGTTATTTAATCCCTCTGAGTCCCAATTTCTTTATTTTTAACATTAGCATAATAATTTTTAGGATATAATGTTAATGAAAAGATTGCCTGGGGCCACAGATGTTTTGTTTCTGTTTGCTTTTTACAAAGCATATATACCTAGATAAACAACCAGAGTAAGAAAAACAAAACCCACAAGAATACAGTAGCAGAAAAAAAAAACCAAAAAAACAATATAAGACTATGTGGAATTTTACTCACTTGGACATTAATTTCCATCCTATCTCTAATCCATACTTGCAAATATTAAATTAATAGTTAATAGGAATTTAATGGTACTCCATAGTCTCAAAGTAGTGCTTCAATTATAAGGAGAAAAAGGAAAAATAATAAAAAACTAAGACAATCTGCTTGGATTTTCCACCACTTCTATTTTTCCCATCTCTTAAAAACTGAAAACAGTCCAAAATATTTCCCTATGCTATAGTTCCTGTCAACTGGAGTTTACTTTCTGACATATGTCTTTTGAAAGTCATCCATGCATCCTATTCATCATGACTGTAGTGCAAATAGAGATGAGAATTTTCATTTAAAAAAAACTTCAGCAGCCACTTAAATTCTTCTGAAAGGAGAATACTCAAGGCTTCTTCTTTTGTATTTCATAACCTATAAATACTCATTGGAATATTTTGGAAGATAATACTTCCTCTCCCTGATAGCAAAGGCTCTCCGTGCCTTAATACAGCATCAGCATGGGAAAGAGAAGGCTTTGGAGATTTATCTCTTACTGAACATCAACTTTTCCCCTCCCTCTAAGTTTTTGTTTCTTTGTTTTTTTGAGTCTTGTTCTGTCACCCAGGCTGGAGTGCAGTGGCATGATCTTGGCTTACTGCAACCTCCACCTCCTGGGTTCAAGGCATTATCCTGCCTCAGCCTCTCAAGTAGCTGAGATTACAGGTGCATGCCACCACGCCTGGCTAATTTTGGAATTTTTAGTAGAGACAGGGTTTCACCATGTTGGCCAGGCTGGTCTCGAACTCCTGATCTTGTGATCCACCTGCTTCGGCCTCCCAAAGAACTGGGATTACAGGCATGAGCCCCCGCACCCGACCTCCTTCCCCTAAGTCTTACCCTGGTTGTTATCTATGATGATTTTTGAAAGCACCTTGAAATTTGTCAATATCAGGTTCACTGATTGCTTTGAATGGTAAAGAATGTCACTTTCACTTAAAATTTAAAACAAATTATTTAACCTCTCTACATTAAAATCCATCTCTAAAACGAAGGAGTTGGACTATTCAATTTGTAAAAATCTATCTAGTTTTAAGAGAATTGTGACATGTAGTTTTCTCCCACACCATAGAGTTTGTAATAATATCCATGGGTTTGTGGTCATCTTTTTTTTTTTTTTTTTGTGGCCTCTCTTTTCTTTTTATGGCTATCTCTCTCTCTCTCCTCTGCCCTCCCTCCCCCAGCTGTTTTTCTGTGAGATTTCTAACATTTCCTTTGCAACAAAGGCATTAGCTTTGCTTAAAGCTGCTCCAGTGTCCTAGTCCTCCAGCTGGCTCTGTCTTTGAGCCTTGCTGCACTAACCCTGAACACCACAGGCCTGACAGTGTGGGGATTAGCATTAGAGGAGTCCCAGGAGGAAAAGCACCTGAAGTTAGTCCTTAGAACTCTGTTTTCAGAAACCTTATCTATGGATAGAGACACTTCGTGAGAGCCCGAGGACAAGAACTGCAGACATAGTTTCTAAGGGGAGAGGGTGGCACTCTGTCTCCCATGCAAGCTGTGGTGTAGGGTGGTCCAAGATAGGATTTGTTCACTTTCTTGCTCACAAGCCCACCTTTGTAGAGAAAGTAGCCTCAGAATTATAATTTGAGAGTTACAGAAGTTTCCTCTCCTTTATATATTTCCTCAGCTAGTCCTCCTGTGATCCCTGTAATTACTACATTTTCTTTTTTGTGGGGGATGGAGTCTCGCTCTGTCACCAGGCTGGAGTGCGGTGGTGCAATCTCAGCTCACTGCAACCTCTGACTCCCTGGTTCAAGCGATTCTCCTGGCTCTGCCTCCCAAGTAGCTGGGATTACAGGCACCTGCCACCACGCCTAGCTAATTTTTGTGTTTTTAGTAGAGACAGGGTTTCACCATGTTGGCCAGGATGGTGTCAATCTCCTGACCTCGTGATCCACTCGACTCAGCATCCCAAAGTGCTGGGATTACAGGTGAGCCACCGCCCCGCTACATTTTCTGTCCATACCTTTAAAAATGCAAATATCATGCAGAGCAATAAAGACTTCAAGTATACTGTTAATTTCAATTAGGTTAATTTCTCACTTTAATTCTTTTAAAAAACCTATGAAGAACAGATAACTTGACCTATCACAGCATTTGAACAAATTGACCCTAATCTCTTTACTAACACACTTTTACCACTGACTTCCAGGTCACCATCCTTTGAGTTGTCCTCCCATCTCTTCATCCTCACTTGCTGTTTTTTCCTGTTTTCTGTAACTTATTAAAATTGGAGAAACCCAGGGCTTGGTCCTTGGTCCCCTTCTCTTCTCCATCTAAATCTTGTCACGTTACAATATATGCTTCATAATACAGAATATATTTATTTAATCTTTCGGAAAGAAGGTAGAAAAGTTTAGCATTTAGAACATGGTTTCTCTATCTCAGCACTGTTGACATTTGGGTCCAAATAATTATTTGTGATAGGGACTGTCCTGTACATTATAGAATGATTAGCAGCATTCTTGGCCACTATCCACTGGATGCTGCTAGCACCCTCCAGTTTTGACAACCAGAAATGTCACCAAACATTGTCAAATGTTCCCTGGGGGGTGGGATGGAGCAAAATCACCATCCGAAACCACTGATTTACAGCACTTTTATGTAAAACCCCAAAACCCTTAAATTATTCAAATTGTAATCTTTGACTTAATTTGGCCAATTCATTTTTTTTTTAGGTTTGTATCTCTTAAAGTTACAAGAATCTGAATAACAACAAGAGCCAACAATAGAATCTATAAGCCAAGTTTTCAGTTTTGGACAACATAAGCTGCTTCTGGGGAGGAAACACGTGAAAATTTGTTTTGTCTTTAGCCCTACACCATTATTGGTAAAAACATGGATGTTATTTTGCCTTTGAAGCAGCAGTGAACAATACCCTAAATTGAAATTCAAGTTTAGCTTGGCCACTTTTTGCTAATTGCATCCAGCTGAGAAAACTAAGGCTTGAAGAGGTTAATTTGCCCATGTCTGGGTAAATATACAAATCATTTACTTCTCAGCCTTTTACATTCGTTCCTGGAAGAATCAGACAAAATTTGGGTTAATCGTCACTCTAAATTGTAAAGCTCTTAATCCATGTCTGTATTATTATTTGCATTCATAGATAAAAGAACTTCAAGTTGATATGAGATGTGAAGGTCTTCAGCAGAGATTGCCAGAACCTTTATTTTACAGTTCCCTTCTTGCCCACACCTACACTATTTTCTTTACATGAAAAAAAGCAGGCCACATGTCCTTCCCTCTGTCTTCCTTCCTTTCCCTCAAGATTTTCCCTCAAAACATACCAGTCATGCTCTTCTAAACCTACATGAACATCGATAACATTATCTTAATTCATTTTAAATTAGAAAAGTAAACCATAGACTTAAACAAAATGTATAAAATGATACCTAATAAAACTATGTCTCAGTCCTACCTTTGAACTCAGTCTCCTCAGATGTAGCCACTATTTGGCCACTATTAACTGATAGTTTATGTCCTTACAGAAATTTCCTGTAGGTCGGGCAGGGTGGCTCATGCCTCTATAATCCTGGTACTTTGGGAGGCCAAGGTGGGCGGATCACTCGAGATCAGGAGTTTGAGACCCACCAGGCCAACATGGTGTAACCCCATCTCTACTAAAAATACAAAAAAAAAAAAAAATTAGCTGGGCGTGGTGGCACTCTCCTGTAATCCCATCTACTCAGGAGGCTGAGGCAGAAGAATCACTTGAACCTGAGAGGCAGAGGTTGCAGTGAGTCTAGATCCCACCACTGCACTCCAGCCTGGGTGACAGAGCAAGACTCCATCTCAAAAAAAAAAAAAAAAAAAAAAATTCTTCCGCATATGCAATCATTTGTGTGTGTATACATGCATGTATTATGTAAGTAAGTATAGCCTATACACAATTTAAATTTTATGGCTTTTTCATTCAAATGTATCTGAGAAATCTCTTCATATAAGGACATATGATTTACCACATTGTATTTTACAGATGAAGAGTATTTCACCTGTAAGGCTGTATCATAGTTTATCTACTCAGTTTACTATCAGTGATTAAGGTGGTTTCTAGTTTGGGGCTATTACAGTGCTCTAATGAATAGGTTTAGTGTTGATGTTTTATTATTATTTTGTTTTTAATGACAGGTGCTCTGAGTCATAATATTTTTTAAGAATAAAGTTTGTTGAGAATTACGTTATTATTGAATAGTCTGAATAAATAGAAAAAAACACATGACAACATCTATTTTAAAAAACTTGAAAAATGCTTTATTATTTCCTGATAGTCAATATTGAATGAAAGAAAGAATTTGCAAAAAAACTTGACAGGGTTCAATCTTTCAGGAATGTGTTTAGTTTAAAAAAATAGTTGCCAAGACAAATTGAGCTTTGGAATTTCAGCATTCTACAACTCATAAGCTTTACTTATGAGGCACACCTATCAATGTTTATTCCAATACACTTTTTTTCTAAATAGTGTTGCCAGACTCTAAAAGATGTTAGAATTAATTCTTTCAAATGTATGAATAGTATGAAAACTGGGCAATGAAAAGCAATAAAAGTGCCAGGGTGGCTAGGGTAATTTTTCTTCTAGAAATTTTATTCCTGAAGATTGTTTTATGCTACTTTTGAGCTTTAAAAAAAAAATCTCCGTGATACTGTCATTTGAAACACACACCGGTCTCATCACTTATAGCCTACCCTGTCAGACTGTATATAATCATATATATAATATATAATTGTATGTATATGTATATATAACTATATATAATCATCTCACATTGAAGAAGTGTGTAAACATATCTGTTATTACAGTATGATCACTGGAAACAGATGTATTTGGGGATATAGTTCCATATGGTATTCCAGATGTGTAGTCTTTGCTTACCAAATAATTATTGTAAATTTCAGAGAAAAGGCAGCAAATAAGTACATATTTTCATCATTGAATAATACATTTGTTCTTCAGGCTTTGGGAAACAGGATGTGCATCTTTTGGTGCTTGTTTTTATTTTTAATGATTGATAAAATGGCATATTTATTGGGACTTAAATTGTCTTTAAAGAGCAACAGTTGTAATTGGCCAAAAAAAAAAAAGCCTAAGAATGTATTTCTTAATGTTGCATAATTGTCTTTACAAACTCATCCCATAAAAATACTCATTATAAACTTGGCATTCAAAAAATGTCATTCATTAACTTACAAATAAAATTGTAATTACAATTACAAGGCTTCGAGGAGATTCTACTAGGAGGGTTCCATGCTAATTGCACAGTTTTAAGTCTTCTAATTTAATATTAGGTAAAAAGATAATTATCTCAAGAAAAACACATAACAGTTTAAGGGCTGGGGAAAAAAAAGTTTCCCCTCTGTGTTTAGCAATCACACTGGATTTGAATGTAATATACAGAAAATGTTCGTGCATGAAAATAAGCCTTTTTTTCGGTCGGGGGTTAGAGGGAGGTCTGTTTACCTATGCGGTCTCGTTAGGGGAGCAAATTGAAAAGCAACGACTGCTGAGACTTTTTGAGTGGTGCCGGGCTGGGCTGTGTACCAACAGCCTCGTCAACTGCAGACGGAACTGCAGCATCCCTTCCTGCCGTAGTGCGTCAGCCATTGGCTCCTCAGTGACACGTGACTGACAGAGCGTTTTCTGTGTCTTTTCTCGCCCATCTGTGTGCAGGGCACTGATAGGCCGGGCTGATGCGCAGGCAATTTATCATCTTGATCTCCCACTGAGTCAGGGAGCTCTCCTGTCACCAGTATTGATTTCAGAGGATGGACTAAATTTCCTAGGATTTCCATTAAGAATTAAGAAAAAAGCTCTAAGCACGCAGGGTAGCCAGACAGACATGGATATGAGATGGCACTGTGAAAACTTGCAGGTAGCTTCTTCTGTCACAGCCGCTGCTGAGCACAGCTTAGATCTGCAGCATGCAGGGTTTAAGATACCAGAAGCCTAAAAACAATAATAATGAAAATAAGAATAAACTCATTTGGATAAACTAATTTTAAGATTTATGTTAAAATATTTCTTCTTGAAGATTGCATGTCAAATTTATGCACGCTGTATGTGAAATGTGGAAAGGTTGTTTTAAATTTTAAAATGTCCTTAAACCCTGAGCATGGTTGCTTCTAGTTTTGTCTGCTGCTTTGTGTGAGCTTCAGGGGTTTATCAGCATGCTTGTGGCAAAAACAACCAAAACTTGTGTCTGTGTGTGTGTGTGTGTGTGTGTGCATATGTATGTATATATGTATTAACTTAGTTCAAGTAAAAGCATGAATAAAAGCTGCTTTCAGTACTTGCCAGACTGCTTTATTATTGTTAATGACTTGCTGAAATTTTTGCTTAAATATGCTTAGATTCTGACCATGCATGCTTTTGTGGCAGAGTGGGATTTTCATGAGCATTTGTAAAGATGGAATGTCTGAATTAAATGCATGTTTGCTAAAACAGAAAACGTATTAGTGATCAGTGATTAAACCTGATTAATGTAAATATTTCATGATAAGATATGAGTAACATTTACTTACATTAATTCTGCTTACTGAAAAAAATGCGTGTCTGGGATAATGAAAGTGTTTATTTCTGAAATATTAATTTTGATTATTTCAACAATAGTAAGATTTTAATTTTCTAAAATGCCTCCCAGATGAAATAATTAAAAACATTTTTAAAGAAATTATATCCTAGAGGAGGATTCTAAACTGCTGTTTGTGTATGTGAGAGACCATGTGCATGTTCATGTGTGTGTGAATTCCTTGGGGAATTGTTTGATACCCTCCTAGCTAGTCCTTATTCTCGAGAAAAGCAAAAATGCCTTGGCATTCAAACATTCCCTAGGCCTGTGGAGAATTAGAGCTAGCAGAAGCAAGAGTATAGCCAGATGGGATTGGCATGCTTGGAGTGAGTGGAGACAATAGGTGGGGGTGGAGCAGATGGAGGACAGAAGGGATTGCATATCAGAAAAAGGGTAGGAGGGTGCCCTTAGGGAAGAGTGTGCTTAATAGTGAAGGAAGCCTGGCCTCTCTTTTCAAGGGAAGTTCTGATTGCATCTTCATTTAATTAGGAGACAGAATGTCATATCTGTGGTGACAACTATTTTCATTAAATTAGATAGCCCTCGCTTCATAAAGGGAAGAAATTCCATGAATAGAAGTTGCTTTACCAGATTACAAATGGTGTGTTGTCTATTTGTGGTGTTTGTCACATTTTTCTCTTTGCCAAGCTCAGGAAAAGCAGAAGAGAAATTAACAGTAGGCTATTGTATTATTTTAGTTAGTAGCATCGAAATATAAAAGTGGCAATTAATACTAAACTTATTTACTAGACTTTGGATGATTCAAGCATCTATAGGGCTTACCAAATTTTTCCCTAAATAAGTTTTCAATTCTGAAAATGTTTAGAGCCATGCAAACTAATCTACTATTATTTTCCTTCTGACTTTTTAATAGATGGCCATTTACAGAATAACTTTTGAATATTTTATTTAAGTATTTGTTGATTTTATCATGCAGCGTGGAGCCTGACCAATACCCAGTTCAAATTCTGAAATGAAATTAATCTCTCAGCAGCCTCCATCAAGCCCTCTGTCACCCCCAGCTCCCAGAGAACTGGACACAGTTTTTGCCCAGAAAAGTCATAGGACTGAAGGAGGATGAAAATCAACTTATTTCTGAATCCTCTGATTTTAATGACTCTTACAAAATTCTAGTTGAACCCAGATACAGTTTTCAGTCCTAAGTGCAAATTAATCTGACAAAAATCATGCTTCTAAAATGTAACAGAAACACAAATTTAAAATGTTTAAATGCAATCTTTTGGGTTGCCCGCAGCTCACTTGTCAGTTATCTAGTGGATTTTGTATTAATACATTAATTAATGTAGAGAATTTCCATTCTCCAAAGAAAGTTTCCATTCTCAAAAAAAGTTCTTTTGACTTAACTTTTGAAACTTGGCTTGACAAGAAATTATGACTTAGACAAGAAGAAAAAAATTTTTACTTTTGGTACCTTAAGGTAAATTCAGGATAATATACTCAGATCATTATACTAGTTTTCCCAAAGTTGAAGAATAAAGCCAACTTATTTCTGCTGCAATTTCCTTCATATTCTATCCTTAGAAATTAATGGAAAAAAATTCACTAAGCAGCAATATGCTCCTCACTTGGCAAATTCCCTGTAACATTTTTAGAAAGAGTCTCCAGACCGATCTTTGGACAGATATTTATATTATGGAGAGTAGACTGCTGTTCATTAAGGAAAATTACCCAGTAATAAAGGATAAATATTTTCATTGACTTTGCACAATCAAGGTTGCCCAGTAGGCTAAGAGACACATTCTCCTTATGGGCAGAATGGAATGAAACTACAAGAGTCCTGAACTGTTATTAAATGTCTGGTTACAATAACATTTGGGCTCAACTGCCAAGCAAACTTCTCACCAACACATTAACTAGGGAAATACTTACATATTTACAAAATAATTAGTGATGTAGCATCGCATATTAAAGATGTTCTGGGATGAAATGCTACTGTCTGTGTCACTTCCATATGCTTCTTTAATTTATGAAATGTGTTCATACCACAGCATCTGGGTGCATTGATAAGGTACAAGGGCAATCAATTAACTATATGATGGATTCAGTAACCAGAATGCTAATTGATAGGAAAAGCCCTCTTAGCTGACACTTTTTAGTTTTCAAATGGGAAAAAAGCATGTAGCCAAGTACTTTAGGCCTTTGTCTATATTAAGTTTAAATATTTAAGAACTTATACTCTGCCCATTTAGAAAATGACATTTAAATGAGATTTCACCCTATCAAAATTAGTGCTGTTAATTCTAGTATTATGAGCACTACCAAAATCCACAGCTGAACAGCGTTAATGAATATTTAATCATACTTAGATCAAGTGGTGCCTTTTATTATTTAGTCTTCTCTTTTACCTCCCATTTTCCCTGCTCCCAGTGTTTTATTCCTCTGTTGCTTTACCTGTGGTTTATGGACTCAAACACCAATAGATAGAAAAAAATGGCATCCATTTGCTTCAGAACTTGAGATTATTAAAGACATAAACAATAATCTTTGTGCAAATTCAAGATAGTATAATGACACTAAGTTTAGATTTATACATTCTTTAGCATTTAAGTTTTTAAAATTTACACTAGAGTTACCAGTATTGACCAGAAAGACTGATTTTACCTTCTGCTATCTTATTTACATTTACTTGACAGCTGATATTTGAATCTCCTGAAGGCCTCCTTCCCTCATCACTCTAGCATAGAGAATGGAGCTAAGGACAATATTGTGGAGTAGGTAGGCAATTTCCAGTATACAGAAAAATTGGAGAGAGTCACAGACAATTATACATTCATGGATATATCTAGGGTCTTTTGGCACATTAAAGACAATATGAGTTCAAACTGAGTAACAACTATTAAAAAGCAGAAATATATGAGAGATAGTTTATATTTTTGCATCATAAACTATGTGTATTATCACTACCCGTTTCCATTTGCTCCTCAAATTTTCACCTTTATTTTAATTCATTTGATTAATCATAAGTAACTAGCTCAGATTTCCCAAAAATCAATGATAATTTTTTTCAGTGTTGTGCTATATATTTTTTGATCTGTGGGTTAAGCCACAATTCATCTTCTTGGGAATAAAAAACATTCAAATACTTGTTTTACTATTTTCCCATGACTATAATGTATAGCCTTTTGTTATAAAGTCTCCATTACTTTATTCATTACTTTGAAAGACAAAAACTATTTATCATGGTGGGAATGACTTGAATATTATTTTGGGGAGCCAAAATAAGTCAGTTCCCGAAAGAAATTAGTTCTGCAGTCTTTGTGCTCTCACCTTTGTTCCCCCTGCTTTTTTATTAAAATGTAATGAGTCTTGTAGGGTTCCACCATCTTGGCTCTAAGCCTATTTCAGATTTTTGATGGAAAACATGATTACATAAGTTCACAGCCTAAATTTATTAGTAAAGTCATGGATACAGTGAAGGCTTAACAGTATGGGGAAATGCCATTACCTGGCTGACTTAACATCGTTCAAGTTGAAAACTCTACAGGAGTATATCAGTCTACGGCCATACCACCCTGAATGCACCCATTCTCATCTGATCTCAGAAGCTAAGCAGAGTTGATCCTGGTTAGTACTCGGATGGGAGAGTATATCAAAGACAAAATTCTTTCCTAATCAGTCGTCCAGTGAAATGAATTTACCTATAATGAAAAAAATACTTTATATGCAAATGTATAGATTATATATATGTAATAAAATGTATTTATAATAAGGTGTAATTACATATATAAAACTAAGGCTGCCATTATGACTTCAAAACCATTTTATTGTCAGATCAAACCTTTTACATAGAATTTTGATTTTTTTAAAGCACTTTATTTAGAAGTTGCATATGTACAGCCTTGGGAGTCAATTCTCAATTTTCCATGTATGAACTGTCTACATAATGAATTATTTTGCATGATTAGATGTGCTTTTTGGACCAGTTACCCTCCATTGGCTTCAAAATCATTGTTTTAATTATATACCATGCATCCCTCCATTAGCACAGCTAGATTTGAGTGGATCATCTACTCTTTAGATTTGTAGTGGGACTACAACATTTGTATAAAATGTGTGTCTATGTAAAACATTGTTAAACATGTAGCTATTAACTAATAGGCTTAAAAGTACATATAGCAAGCCAAAAATTTGGCCGGGGATAAGCTACTGTTGGACTTGCCAAGAGGTTTCTTAGCCTTTAGGAATTTTACTATCTCTTTCCAGAATGTTGAAAATTAAAATATATAAGTAATTACTAAGCACCCCTCTCAGTGCTTTTGTACATTGTTAGTTAAGATCTGTTAAAATATGTACTGCATGATTGTATCTATGCCAGAACACTGCTAGATGTCATGGGTTATGCAAAGAAAAATGAGACACTTGCTGCCTTAAAAGTTCAATTGAGGATTCAAGACAAATAGGCATAAAACTAGAGGAGCACTGAAGGCCTAACTATTTTACCCTATAGCATTACTTAATATATATTTGCTCATTGTCTTGTCAATATATTTGCTCATTGTATTCTATATATTTCAAGGTAGCTTGGAGAAAGGAGAGTTTAATGTGGTTCAAGGAGATACATTCATGTTATTTCGCTGTATGTTTCCTGTGTTTGAGCAGCACTAGTTATCCAGTCACGAAATAAAAGGTAACACAAAATCAGGTCAAATCAGGTAGGCTACACATCCCTTAATATCAATACCTGCTTCTAAAATGGCATTACGGACACCGAGGGTACTAGAATATCCAGAGAGGACCCAAGTAGCTTGTCTCAAAATCAGTCAAGGGGGTTGTTTCCTATTGTTCTACATGTTCTCAGGACAACATACTGATTTCTTAAAAGCCGGTTTCATGCTTTATGAAATATAAAAGTAATGCAAAATGGATGCAACTTTTTGTTTAAAAGTCATCTGCATATTTAGTTTGTATTCATTCTCTTTATTCATTAAAATTAGCCATTGTTGCTAAGTGTTTTTCTTCAGAAAAAGTAAATTGGACACTTTGGCATAACTGCATAACTGTCTCAGACCCTTAGGGTATAATTGAGCGTTCTTATAAATTGCTGTAGCAATAATTCTTTGTTTGCCTTATTCTACTTCCTTCGCCAGCTCTTAATTTTCTTTTTTTTTTTTTGGTGGGATGGAGTGGGTAGGTGAGTGTGAGTGGGTCTGGGCAGTAAATGAGAATCTGGCCTTAGGTGAAACAATTTTGAATAAGTAATAATAATTATGTAAACCATTTACTCTTGATACTGGAATGGTCATCAATAGTATTATTTTCTCAGTAAGCAGCTTAAAATATGGTGAAGAATTATGGGATATTTTGTGAACCATTCATTAAAACTGACTGAAATGATACCTAGGTATAAAACATTAAACTGAATAGCTCTTGATTGCTTTACAAAACCTCAGGCTAGAGAAAAGGAAGCTGAGGACACTTCTTAAGACATCCACTGCAACAAGTGTTTTCTAGATTCCTGACTTTCTAGTTTTCCACATAGCCAGTAAGATTTCAATTGCAAGAGAAGGTGTCATTTTAAACAGAAGGCTACTCCTGCAATAACAAAATAAATACTGACTCCAGCCTATTTCACTCTACCTAGCAATCCCTAAATGATGCATCTACTCTTTGCAGTACTTTAAGAAAAGATATGAAGGTTTAAATTGATGAGATTAAGTAGAAAAGTATATGCTTGTTTTATTTGAAACTCTAAAATGGGAGGACATTTTCAAAGACATGCCATTCAAACAAGGATAATGCATGTTTTATGTCTATAAACGTAACAAAAGTGGGGAGGAATTTGTAGGTTGCTTGTTTTGGTTGTGGTTGTATTTTTCTTTGTTGAATGTATCTCCATCATTTTTTAAAAGAGAATGTATTTATAAATATCACAGCTTTGTCATTTTATATGTAATATATGGGAGTTAATCAGATCAGCATGCTTTATTTTAAAAATAAATATTTTAATTCAGAATAATTTGAGATTCTAGAAATGTCATAAACATATTTTAGAGAGTTCTTTTTGTTCATTTTTCCCTAATGTGAATATGTCATATAACCGTTGTATATCTGTCAATACTAAGAAATTAACATTCAGTTAATTTTAATCAATTTTTAAGGTGAATTACTTTTGAAAAGTGATTTACTTTACAGTTTTTGTGTCATAGATGCACTGTGTGTCATAAGACTACTTTGGGAAATTTATCACTGGGTTCGATCAATTGCCTAAGAGAATCCACCAATTGCCTAAGAGAATCCTCTTCACTGGGCTCCTCAGATTTCCACTTGGAAACATTCAATCAAATATTTTAGGAGTAAAAACAATTAACAGGAAAGCAGTTCTTTGTTTGTACCTGCTTTTTCTTTCTACCCTTTTAAATGTTGGATTTTTCTGAAGGTGGTCTCAGAATCTCCTTTTCTCTTTTGGTTTCGTTGGGAAATCTATATGATCCCCAGCCCAGAATTCTCTTCTCAACTTCAGATTTACCCTTACAACTGCTATCAGTTCACCTCAAATTCAACATGTCCCAGTGTGAACAGATTACTCTTTGGAGCTTATCTAATTTTAGAGCATTTTCTTTTAATTGATTTATGTGAAGACATTGTACTGGAGAAAGTTCTGTATCTACTGGTGAAGACTTAATGGCTTAATCATCTGATACCTGATTTTCTTGTTTGTAAGGTGAGGAGTTCGCAGGTCTAACATTTCATGATTTTAGAGTGTGAATAAATGTGTTTCCTTAAAAAAAAAAAAGAAATGCTTTAAAGAAAATTGGTCTTATAAACAGGCTGCTTTTCATTTTGTTGAATTATGTCACCTGGATTTTGAGATGAATCTGCATCTGAGATTTTCTTATGAGATTTTCATATTGAAAATTTTTATTTTGAAGGTAGTGCCAGAAAAATTGTCATGTCTAGCATTAATTATAGGGCAAACTCATTTTCCATTTCCATAATGAAGAATACAGATGCTCATTTCGAGTCCTAGAAACACAATAGGAAGAAATAACATCTCTTCATCTTGAAAATGAGGAAGTTTTCTCAGTGTTGTATCTCAAAAGCAAGCACACTTCAGTGAAAACGAAGGTATGGGGGCCTATACTGCTCGTTCCCCTTGTGTTACCAAACTTCTAGCTTTGCTAATTTGGAATGATTTCAAACTAGCTTTTATACAATGGATGCCAAAAGAGCAAAAATTATTTACTGTAAGTGAAAATATTTATTACCATATGTCAAGAAACTTTGATTTTCTCTCTGGTATTCGTAAGAAGAACACTGTGGTGTAAAATCACACCAGCTGAACCTGCTAAATAATTGCGTATGTGAATGCTGTACCTACTGTGTGTATTTTTAGGCTTTATATCAATACATATTTTATACAATGCTGCATACTCTGGACTAAAAGTCCTTCTTCCCCAAATCAGTTTCAGATTCTCCTTTAAGAAATAAAGTACAGTGTGGTTCCTAATGAAGTGGGAAGGAAAGTGGTGACATAAGTGATTGACAGCACAGCCTCAGAAACATTCTTACCACTGATAAAGATTTGTGGAAAAGTAAATTTCAAAACTGCCAAATGAGATCCTCTGAGAAAAAGGCTTTGTAAGCATTTTTTTTTCTATCAGTGTGAAAGTCTATAGTAGGCACAAAAACTTGTGTAGGACAAATTATTTTTATGACTGTTCACAATTTATATATAAAAACCTAGGCTGGGCGCAGTGGCTCACACCTGTAATCCCAGCACTTTGGGAGGCCAAGGAGGGTGGATCGCCTGAGGTCAGGAGTTCGAGACCAGCCTGGCCAACATGGTGAAACCCCGTCTCTACTAAAAATACAAAAAATTAGCTGGGCGTGGTGGTGGGCACCTGTAAACCCAGCTACTTGGGAGGCTGAGGCAAGATAATTGTTTGAACTTGGGAGGCGGAGGTTGCAGTGAGCCGAGATGGAGCCATTACACTCCAGCCTGGGAGACGGAGGCACACTCTGTCTCAAAATATATATACATATTTATAGCCTGCTGGTGTCTATAATAATTAGAAACCTTAGGCAGAAAAAATTTTTTCTTAGACACAAGGAAACGTAATTAGAACTTTGAAACCGGACATAGTGGCTCATGCCTGTAATCCCAGCACTTTGGGAGGCCAAGGCAGGTGGATCATTGGAGCTCAGGAGTTTGAGACCAGCCTGGGAAACGTGGTGAAACCCTGTCTCTACCAAAAATACAAAAAATAGCTAGGTGTGGTGGTGTGCACCTGCACCTGTCAGGGGCCTGAAGGGGGAGAATCACTTGAGCCCAGGAGACAGAGGTTGCAGTGATCTGATATTGCACCACTGCACTCCACCCTGGGTGACAGAGTGAGACCCTCGTCTCAAAAAATAAAATAAAGAACTTTTACATTTATCATTTCAAGACTTTATTATTTTTTATTTTTTGAGATGGACTTTTGCTTTTGTTGCCCAGGCTGGAGTGCAATGGCACAATCTTGGTTCACTGCAACCTCCACCTCCTGGGTTCAAGTGATTCTCCCACCTCAGCCTCCCTAGTAGCTGGGATTACAGGTGCCCGCCACCATGTCCAGCTAATTTTTCGTATTTTTAGTAGAGACATGGTTTCACCATGTTGGCCAGGCTGGTCTCGAACTCCTGACCTCAGGCAATCCACCTGCCTTAGCCTCCCAAAGTGCTGGGATTACAGATGTGAGCCACCAGGCCTGGCTTTTTTGCTGAAGTGCAATGGCGTGATCTCGGCTCACCGCAACCTCCACCTCCCTAGTTCAAGCAATTTTCCCGCCTCAGCCTCCCGAGTAGCTGGCATTACAGGTGTGCGCCACCACACCCGATTAATTTTTTGTATTTTTAGTAGAGGCGGGGTTTCACCATGTTGCCAGTCTGGTCTCGAACTCCTGACCTCAGGTAATCCATCCACCTCAGCCTCCCAAAGTGCTGGGATTACAGCATGAGCCACCGAAGACTTCTTAGTATATGGAAGATGTAGTGATTATGTTTTAAATTTTAATTTTCTGTCAAAATCTAAACAGAAACTATTTACCTCCCACCAGGATTCAATGGATGCTCTGAGAAACCAGCAGTTTGGAGCGTAAATTGATATGAACAGTAGAAGTGTAGCTTTTAATGTAATCTTAAAATGATAGATTTGGCTTCCAGAAAATAGCTTAAACACTTCATCTTTAAAGCATTCCCTGAACTTCAGGCTTCAAAGCTTTAGAAGCATTGTGCCTCTGTGGGACTAGGGAGAGAGCAGGGTGAGGTGTTGTGAGGTGTGGCCTCATAACTTCTCAGCCAGCTCTTTTCGTTATGGACACATGAAGTACGGGCCTGGGTATGTTACAGCAGCTCTGGGACATATGACCGATTCAGCATCTGTTACATATTTTATTCTTTTATAATAATTCCTCCCACTATTTAAAATTTACTGATAGTATTAGCTCTGGAAAAAGTATTAATGGGTTCTGAAAGAGATTCGTCATTTAATTCACCGTTCATAGACATTTTAATGAAAGTAATTGAGAAACTGCCTGAGTTTGTTTTACCCTGTTTTGTTTGGTGAAAGATGTTAAAGGATGGGGGTGAGAGGGATCTTCTAACGGCACATTTCTGTTCTGTGTCTGAAGGTTTGGTGTTTACCAGGAGTAAAGTCTTTTGCTTCTTTTAAGCCCCTTTCTAGAATACTGTAATCAAGACTTATTTCACATCTCATTGCGTGATTCATTCTACTTTCCTAAATATGAAATAGCTGTATCATAGATGTCACTTGTAAAATGGACAGAGACACTCTGCCACCGCCCAAACATAGGTGGAGGAACTCTTTTCTTAGCTTTTCTCCTTCCTTCTGCTCATTCTCTTGCTTAGTTATTTCCTGTTTGTTTTGCCTCTTTTCTTCTACTTTGCCTACACCAGAACTCTGCTAGTGGCATCTACTGTCTTTTTCTGCCCCATTCCTGTCACTTGAAAGACAAATTTTGAAGCCAATACATAGCAGTAAAATTTCTAAGTCACCAGCCATTATTTTTCGACCACATGGAAGTCAGGAAAATTCACCGAATTCTGTGACGTTAAAAGGAAGCATATTGAGCACAATTGAATTATCAGATAAATAAGGATTCTGCAGGATTTGAGGATTGAAAAATAAGATTACACATTGTAGGGGTAGCTAACTGGGCAGAAATGGCAGCATCCTCGGGATATAAATATGGATATTTAATTTTTAGTGAATCCGTGATATTTCCTGTTTTATTTTGTCAGTTTCATTTTATTTGTATTTTGTTTTCATTTTATTTATTTATTTATTTATTTATTTATTTAGAGGCAGGCTCTCAATTTGTTGCCCAGGCTGAGTGCAGTTGCATGATCATAGCTCACTGCTGTCTCCATATCCTGGGCTCAAGGGCTCCTCCTGCCTGACGCTCCTGAGTAGCTGGGACTACAGGTGCATGCCACCACCCCCGGCTAATTTTTGTATTTTTAGTAAAGACGAGGTTTCACCGTGTTAGCCAGGATGGTCTTGATCTCCTGACCTCATGAGCCACCGTGTCCGGCCTCTATGCAGTTTTATCACATGTGTAGCTTCTTGTAACCACCACCACAATCAAGATATTACCCTCTACCGTTACCACAGGACTCCCTTGTGTTACTCTCCATCATTGCATGGGAAATATGAAAGGTCATCTACTCTAACCTACTTATATTAGGATGAGGAGTGATTTGCCCCAGGTCAATGGGTTACATAGAACTCTTAGTCAAAACTTAGATTACTATTTCTTGTCCTACACTAGTTTCAGGCATTACATATTACATTCTCAATTTATAAAGTAGGCAGTTATTCAGCAAGTTTAAAGATAAAAGACTTGAAGCAACAAAACTTTTACAGAGTCATTACAATTCTCAATTTAAAAAAATCCAAATTTCTATTACGGGATGCAAATGGGTTAAGAGAACATTTAACAGTCAATTGAAGCATTAGATTAGTATTCATTCAAAGTGTCTGTATCATAGAGATAATCCATGTTGCTTCATCAGAACTCAGGATGGTTCCCGAAGGGTGAGGAGGCAGTTGATTGGTATCTATGAAGAAACTGAGAGATTTAGCTACAAATTATATAATCAATACTCTCCACCCAAAGAATTGAATACCTATTCCCTCCCCTTCATATACCACAAACACACCAGATATTTTTCTTTTTTCTTTTTTTTAGTGTTAGGGTCTCACTATGTTGCCCAGGCTGGACTCAAGTGACCCTCCTGCCTCGGCCTCCTCCAGGTGGCTGGGACTAGAGGTGTGTGCCACCATACCCAGCCACACCATATATTTCAAGAATTATTTTTCCCTTACAGTTTCCCTTTATATTTTAATTACCATTGATAAAATGATTAGGGTGAGGTTGTGGGGACAGAGTTGGGAACTGCGGTGTCACACCATATAATTTGATCCACTAACCTGTTTCATATCCACTTTGGAAATATTTTTGGTGCTACTCACCTTTGGAAGTAAATCTGGCTATTAAAGAGTAGAAGAGCATTTATTTGGAAAGAGTGTTGGACTTTTCTACTGTATCAGCAACACAGAAATTAGAGATGTAAAGACCTATAGGCTAATTTGTCCTATTTCCATAGAAATTTCACTGAATATTTTTCAAAAGGCCTAATCTATTTTTGTTTAAAATAAATGAGAATTCAATGCAGATTCTTGTTAGGGCTTGAAACTGCTGATTGTTGTGTTTTCTGGGTTGTTTTTCTTTTTAGATCTAGTTGACAGTTTGCATAGCTAATTATTGTGTTCTCATTTGTTTAATTCCAGCATTGCTGTAAGCTTCTTAGAATGGAGGGTCAGGGCAGGGAAGCTCTACTGCAGTTTTGAAGTACGTCAACAAAATGTTACAACAAGGAGGACGGGAGATTGAGAGATTGATGTGTGTGTGTGTGTGTGTGTGTGTGTGCATGCGTGCGCAGGCATTTTGGAAGATGGGTCAAAGTTAAAGCAACAATGCGAATTTTAAATAGCTGCCAGGGTTTGGTAGCTAATAATGCGTTTGTGAAGGGTTCAGTCAGTAACAAAATGCAGGAGATACTGGGGTCTCCTGTGGCCATGTTTTTATGTAGGGCATTCTGCTGTATCATGATGAATCATTTGCAGCAAGTTTTCGCTAGAAAACATGAAGAACATACACCCCTAGAAATCCAGCTTTTTCTTGCTGGATTTTAATTAAATAAATCATTTATTTAATTAAAAATGATATTATTTGTTTAGTACTCATTTTACATGAAAAAAAGCCTTGTAATTTGAAGAGAATTTGTTAATAATTATTTCCCGTACCCAATAGATAGCTTTAAAACTTACCCAATTATAGTATGCTATGGATTCCATTTATGGGGAAAAGAATGCTTTTGTCAAGAACCATTGCCTCCTCTGTCAATGAAGCATGAGTTCAGTGTGCAGGTTTTGGAATTTAGAAGCATTAGCTGAACCATTTAAGAACCACTGGGGTAGTAATATGTGATAAAATGATGTTTTTTGCATGTCTTTTTGTTGGCAGTGCCGGTGCTGGTGCTTTTTCTGGGGAGGGTGGTGTTAATTTAATGACTGGATTGTGTGCTTTCACTTTCTTTCTTCCACTATAGGATGAGACACTTTTAAGGAAATACTCCACAATTCATTAGACTGAAATTTTGCTTTAATGCAACATCTTTAAATAATTATCATGCTTCTGGAAGGATCTGTCAAATTTGAATGAGGAAATTAATGTGATATTCAGTGGAACATTTTTATAGCTACTCCATATTGGGAGTACAACTGTGTTTGCAACAATGGTGAAAATGATTAGTGTTGAAATTATGTGTACAGCTTCTCTTAGAGCAGCCACACTGGTGAGATAGGCCACCTAAGAGCAGATATGAATGACTAGATCTCTACATTTGCATAAATAAATAAATAAATAGAATTTTGTGGTTTCTGGTTGCTATAAGCAACACAGATAGTTATTTCCAAACCTTTCAGGACACAATGAGTGGCAAACATTGTGTGCCTAGTGATTTGAACCTCCACGTATGAACTCAGTTGAATGCTTGAAAGCTAAGATGAAACTCATACACATTCTTGCAAACCATTGCCATGGCAACATACTTAAAATTTCCAAGGTCTGTCTCCCTTGAGTTTGCACCTGCAGTTAGCTTATTATGAAACAAAAAAAGAAGGCTTTCCAATTCAAAAATGCTTTGGAATGGTTGGGACTGTGTTTTGAAATAAAGTAGAGTTTAAAAGTCAAAAAGCAAAAGAGAACATTCAGGAAAAAAAATACATTTGCATTCTTCATGCACTGTTTGGCTTTTTCCCCTTCCACTTCACAATATGCTAGGCAAGGACAAAAGTGGATTGTCTACCTCTTGTGAATGTTAGGATACTGGGGTTTTGCCTACTTTATTAAGAAACGTTATTTTCAGCATGCTGGAGGTAACATATGTATGTCTTATAAAATAATAATGAAGGTGATAATAGCCAATATTTATTTTGAATTTATCACGCACCAGGAACAGTGTTAAGTATATCATCTGTCATGATTTTCTTAATCCCTACAACTACTGCATAGATTGGCAGTGCATCCCTCCCATTTACAAATGAGAGGTTAAATAAATCACACAAGTTCTACCAGCTCTAAATAGTACAGTCCAGATTTAAACTTGGGTAAGTCTGACTCCAATGCCCATGCAGCAGATCACTGGAAAGCAGCATTGTAAGATCCCATAACCTGTACCAGGGCTTCTCAATTTGTCAAGCAAACAACTGGTCCTAGGAAACCAAAAAGATGCTACCGTGAAGAGCATTTCTCTGTCTCTTCAGGGTACACCAGGTGAATCACCCACTCTGGATAGATACAGCTGGATGCCTGCATGGCTGCATCAGGTTCTACGTAAAAATATAAACCAGTGTACCTTCGAGTTTTTCAGGTAGCAAAGCAGTCAATGACAGTAAGACAGCCACCTTTCTTATTATATTACTTCATCTTCATTTCCCTCCCTCCCAGCCAACTCAGTGGAACACAAAAGGAGGCTTGGCTTCTGTTTGAATAGATCTTGGAAAATAGAAATTTAGAAATGTGGAATCTTGTTTCAATAAGGATGCTTGGACTCAATAAAATAAGAAAAGCCCATTTGAAAATTATCATAGTGAAAATATTACTGAGATTCGCTTAGAAATAAATATACTACCTTCACGAAGAACTTTGCATTTGGAAGAAACTAACAGGTCTTGTGTATTTTAAGCCATGAGCCTTGACTGAGTGCTCTCATGCACCTGGGCTTTCTCATTTGAGAACCTCTCTGATATCCTTTACCTTATAGCCAATTTCTCATTTCTCAGGACGGAGAACTTTGATTATCTGGATTTCCAGCTCAAAGCAGATCCGAAGGGGCAAATTGGAAGGAAGAAAGAGGTCTATAAAGGCTGACAAAAGACAAAAGCTAGATTGAGCTTTCATAGACTAAAAAGTAAACGAGCAACTTGGGTACCTATGGAGAATAGTCAGCAATACTCTTTGAGATCACTACTGTGTTTCCAGCCCTCGTGCTCATAAAAATGACACCAAATCATCAAGAAAAGTTTGTCTTCTGAACTGTTTAAAAAGCTACATCTGTGTAAGTTCGCATGATGATAAAAGGTATATTTATGTTGAATAGGTTTCTTTCTTGTCCTTAATTAGTAGGCATCTAAGCAATGATAACGAAGGGAAGAGGGCAGGCGGGGATTGCAGAGGTGTGCGGGAAGGAAAAGGACAAACCCAGATGGCAGAGGCGTGATAACAACTGCAATGAAATATGTCAGAATTGAGTGAGACAGACTGTAAATGCAAGGCTGGCAAGAGGAAAGCTATCCAAGAGAGGATATGTTTAATCACTTAGAAATCTAAATGTTATGTAAGTGATGTTTATTTATAACAACTTTTTAAATGACCCAAAAATGTCTGAATAGTGGACCAAAAAAAGAGGTCATTAGGCAATATCATAACTAAATAAAACACTGAAATACCTGCAGGAAGAGTTCAGCAGCATATCCCATCTCATTAAATACATGCACAAAGGCAAATTCTCTAATGAAGCTCCTAGTTCTCAAAGAAGACAATTAGCAAAATTCTTGTCCTGTTTCTGCACTTGTGTTCTTTGGTTGGATTTTACTGGGCTTTGCACCAGCCACTGAGTGCTCTCCAGTCTGGCAGCTGTGAGTGACGGCATCATTCCCTAGTATTTTTCAAAGGCCTTACTTAAAATTTCAGTAAGACATAGGGAAGAATTTAAAAAGTCAAGTTATGTATAAGAAACTTGGGAAAAGTAGTAAATTATTCCCGCTGTTATTTTTATCTGCCCCATACCCAAACATGAAACTAGGAGGAGTAGAAGGAGCAAGACGCCAACTGGATGGAGAGCCAGGAAACTGGGATATACTCCTAAGTCCCTCCTGAACAGTGCAGTGCAGTAATTTGGTACTGTACATCTGACCCACACCTGACCATGCCAATTTAGGGTTTCCTTCTCTTTACCTAAAAGGGAACTGGAGCACATAATTCAAAGAGCCTCCAAATATGATTTGACAAATGCTTGATTACATCGTGTAGCTAGAGAGAAGAGATGCTCCTTGTATTTTCAATATACTGATAATGTGATTTTTTGAGGTGCTTTTACAAGCGCTGTCCTATCAAACATATAATCTTCTCTGTTTATAGAATATTTAAACATGGATGTGTGAATTTAGGTGAGAAACTTGTACTTTCTCTGTGAAGGGTGTGTTTGTCTCTAAAGATTAGGGAGTCCAGTGCTAGGAATAAAGTTTAATTTCCATATTGCGGTGAGAATAATGTGAAAATGTCTACAAGAGCCATTCATTTTGAAAGCTGGTTGTATCTATGTAATAAATATTCATGATAATATCTTCCATATACCAGCTACTGTGCTAGATAGTATGCCTATCTAGGTCTAGATAATTTAATACATGTAATACTCATGCAAAATAGGTGTAAATAACTTCACTTTTACATCGAAAGAAATCCAGAGAAGTTGGGGAACTTGCCCAGGGTTACACAGCTAGTAAGTGGCAGAGCTGGGATTTAAGACCAGTCTGTTCAGCTCCAACATTCATGCTCCTTCCATGCTCAGTAGTGGAAAAAGCAACTTGCTGCTCATAGAAGGCCTGCATTTGTTACACATTGAAGTTCAATTTCACAATTCAAAGCAGGGATGCCTGGTCACTTAGCATCTATCTCAATTTCATCAGTTCCAACTCACCTCTCTTAGGAATTACCTTTGAGAACCGTTAAAAGCTGCCAATTTCCCCTACCCATTCATGATTATATGGCAAATTATCCTGATCGAATGTAGGCAGCTTAGTAACTTAAATTGGAGAACTAAAAGTCAAGTGTCAGGGCTCATGATATCTCAAATTAAATCAACAGTTATATACAGGGCACCTTCCTTGTACCAAAAAATATTTTAGCAGAGTAAAAAAGACTATCTCCTTTATCACAAATTTCTACTCATAGAAACATTTCCAGATTTCTTTGACTTATGGAATCATATAATAATAACTGGAAGAGAGCATGTAATTCTCTTCCCTAAATTTATACATGGACCTAAGGTGCTACGGTATGTTGGTTAGAGTCAAACAGCATTTGCTCCTTGGACTTTTCTTGCTATGTGAGATCTTTTTTCCTGAGGTAGCTCCTCTGGGAGTTGGGACACCATGAATGAAATAGGAAGAGATGAAAAAAATGAAATCAAAGGGAAAAGGAGAAAAATAAACACTGGCACCATTTATTAGTTGTAAAAATGAAGGAGCACAAATTGCCTTACAGTGAATGGTGGTAGCAGTCACATTTTCCAAAAAAGTTAACATGACAATGCTTCTCGTTGCTTTTCAAATTGATACCTTTTCTAATCAGCTGATAGCTGAAGTATCAGAGAACATAGAACATCTTTGGTTCTGTCAATCCCTTGCATTTGGAAACGTTTTTGTAAAACTCTAAGGTACTTTTGTTTTGTCTAGCATGATGGGGTAGTGTTGGACTTATTTTTCCTATCAAATTACTTCTATTTTTCTGATTATACTGGCTGGAATCATTTCTGACTGATTGGCCAGATATTTGTCTCTTACATGCTAGGTACTGTGGCAGGCCCTGGGGATGCAACCTTGAATATACAGTGTGAACACTTAATACATGGGTAAAAGATTAATGCATAAAATGATAGATGCCTTCTCCAAACCCAAAAGAAACTGGATTGCATGCGCCACCACAGTATTCTAAATGTTCTGAGTCAGAAAATTGTATTTTTATTCCTTGCCTGTATAACTCTTTATTAAATGAAAATATTCAACAAATGAGTACAAATGGATGAATGAATGAATGGCAGAATCAGTAGATATAGATTTGATTAGTGCATTCTGTCTTACACTATTTCTTGGTGTGAATCTTATGGCTGGCCTCTTTCAGGAAAAAGATAAAGCTTTCATCCTGTAGTTAGATTTTGAAGGAAAACATTACAAAGGAATAGTTTTTTTTTCTTTTTTGCAACTAAGTAAAAGCATTTATAATGCAATAGACTATTGCAAGAGAGTTTGTAAGAGATAGAGATAGTTGAGGAATATTATGTAGGTAAAAAAAAAACCCAAAATGATAGTTAACTATGTTTTTCTCAGTCCCTTCCACAGAGTAGGCTTTATCTTACTGCTTTCTCAAAGGACAGGAATGCTTCATAAAAGCAGGAAGACCAACTTATTGCAAGACATTTTTAGCTTTGCCTTCCTTCTAACCTTCAGTCATTCTCTCTTTCAGTTAAAGATAATGTCACTTTTTGCTATTTCTCTACCATACATTTCCAGCCATGGGGTATAATGTGGAAGCCAGTTAGAAAGTTTCATTGTTACTTCTAGAGATGTTATAAGGCAGATAAAATCTTTGAAAAAGTGTTATTTTGCCACAATTCTCATCTCCCACTCTTAGGTGTATTCCTAGAAAATAATCTATACTTGTTCAATTTTATATTGAGATTTAATTAGCTGGTATAAATGAGCAATTGTGACAATCATGCCTTTTTCATAACCAAAAATGTAGTGAGCTTAGAGTGGATGACCATCAAGAGTAAGATTATTTAAAATGTGATGATTCTAGTAAATTCAAGTGTCATGTATAATATTTCTTCTATTTTTAAAGTCAAGATGAATCCCTCACTTTTAACTAAGCTGTATTTTCATAACAATTATTTTTCAAGTCATAATTATTTTCAAAAAATCCTTTTATTCACGCAAATGCTTTAAGAATATAAGCCAGGTTTTTGAGTGATTATGTCATTTTAAGTCAGCTCTACTGAATTCCTGTATAGATGCCCTGGGGGCATAAAACATAAACTGTACCCAAAAGCAGCATATGAAATAAAATAAAACATATCACTAAGCAGTCTTCATACTTTTAGATTTCAAGATGATTTCAAAAGGCAAGTACTCCCACTATTCTAATGCACTAAGAAAAGATAGCTCATTGTCTTAACAGGAGTTGATAAGCATATTATTAATCCGTATAGAAGACAAACCATAGGTAAAGTCATATTATAACTACAAATACAACCACTCCTATTGTAAGGAGCATTGTCATGCATGAATTACACTTAGAGATTCAGTCTTTCTCTCTCCCTCTCCCTTTTTCTCTCTCTTTCTCTCCTTTAATTAGCATTGTTTGCTAAGTGGTCTGTTTTTCCCTGTTCATCTGTTCATTTATATGCTGTAGTTTTAACAGAGTGGTAAATTCTGGATGCAGTGATAAAATAAATCAGGTTCTCACAATCTAATGAGTAGAACTTAGAATTTAGAGAGAGCTCAAGTATCCCTGAGTCTGTGCACTAAGCTCTCCAGGAGATCTGGTCGGAGGAAAGGTAATCATAATGCCAGACATAGATTGGTGCTACCTACCTTGTAAGTTACCAGTGAGATCCACACATATGCCCTAAATAAGGAATGCCAAAATGAATTCAATGCTGGCATAATAGGAAGCAGCCCAAGAACAGCATCTGTGTGAGGGGCTAGTGTAAGTGAGAGATACAGATCCTATTCAACTGAGGGACAAGAGGATTTCAGGACATTAAAATAAAATGTATTCAGGTAAATGGACATTGGGTTGTCCTCTTCAAGCACTATCCGGAGCTCTCCTTTGTAGCATCATGTGAGGAACAAAAATTATTAGTTATAATAATAATTTTTTTATTTTTTCTTAAGTTCTGGGATACATATGCAGAATATGCAGGCTTGTTACATAGGTATACATGTGCCTTGGTGGTTTGCTGCACCCATCAACCTGTCATCTAGGTTTTAAACCCCGCGTGAAGTAGGTATTTGTCCTAAGGCTCTCCCTCCCCTTGTCCCCCACACCCTGACAGGCTGTGGTGTGTGATGTTGCCCTCCCGGTGTCCATGTGTTTTCTATAATAATAATTTATACAAACACTGCATCGTGGGCACTTTTACACTTTCCAAAATGTCTTCACACATATGAAATTTGACTCCCTTAACATCCTGTGAGACACAATTAATTACATATATAAATATATGTATTTAAATGTATAATATGTATATATTCATATGTCATGTTTAGAACACAGAAACCAGTCCAAGATGATGTGTACTGCTCATGAAAACTAAAAGTGAGACTTGAATTCTGGAGTAGTATTTATTTTGCATTATTGGTCAGCATAGTATAAATTAAACTGAGGTGTTTCAGCAGTACAACATCGTAAATATGTATTAAAGAACCAATGTGCACCAGAAGGAATGAAGTAGTCAAGTGTAGAAGCTTGGAGTTCCAGTTTAACTAGAACTAGAAGACACTGGATCCTCTTAGCACATGAACAAGATAACATTGTGACATCTGAGCCAGATAATGTTTATTCTCAATCACCACTGGATAGATACAAGCATAGAGATGCTACTCAGATACTGGCTTATTTGGGGGCATGCAGTCCTGAGTCTTGCATATATTCAACTCATGAATCAACTCAAAATCAGAAAATACACCTTCTGTTAACTAAGTGATTATTTCCAGCCACATCCATATTTCTTGCTGTTCTATACTCCAAGCATCGTGTGGAATGGAAGTTCTCATCTATCCCCAAGTTAAAGTTTATCAGGTGACATTGGTCATAGTACTACCCAGTAGCAGAGAAATGTTTTTTATAACTGGCTGCTTGTCCAAAGGTAAATGTGGCTCCTTCTACATCTTTGATCTTGAACCTTCACTTCGAAGGTCATTGTGTCAATAAGACTGAGTTGATCAATACATGTTTAAATTGTTTCTGGAGAAACTACCAATATGGCTAATAAATGATCACTTCCATGTATTTATTCCCAAGATGTAATAAGAAATAATCTGACAGAACTCTAATGATAGTTGTGTGAGAGAAACAAAGATGAATATCTCATTGGCACTTACATTGTGAAGACAGTAGTTAGTAAGAGAGAGACCTTGGAAGTTGGAAGGATTTTAATCAGTGGCTTAATGAGAAGAGAGCAGGGAGTTCATTGATTTAATTTTGTAGCCAGCATAGCCTGCAGTGTTCTAAGTCAAAGAGATAAAAAGACAGAAAGAGATTCAATAATTTGCATTTTCTTTTTGTCACCAAAAAATTAGTTATGCATTTAGGTACAGAGACTGAGGGCATGGTATGTAAGGTCTTTAAAACAATAATTTCAGAAAAGATTTTCACAAGTAAATAAAGAACTCTCTGGGTTAACTCCATTTCAAAATAACTGTAATTATGTCAATATTTGAATTTCTGTAATTGGATTTTTAAAAGTTGAACTCTAGCATTAATTGTGCTCCCCTTTTAGTGTTACATGATGTGCTGCCATATCAAATGGTGCAGAAGCTGTGAATATGCACCTCCTGTCTGTGTGTATTTCTTCAGGACAATTTTAGTGGTTACTTATCTAAAATCCAGTACTCTACCTTTGCAACCTTTTCACTTATTTTAAGTTTATCTTATCATGTATCTTCGTAAATCACATAAAATTCATTAGAGAACAAGATGGTTTGGGATGGATGGATAGATGAATGGATAGGTAGAAGTCATCTGGGATAATAGAAAAACATAATCTACTGGGAGTCGGATAATCTCATAGATTTGCCATTAACTAGCATTATAACTGTGGCCAATTAAAATTTTCTAGCTTCAGTTTCCCAATATGTAAAATGAAGAGCTTAGATTAATGATCTCTAAGATCTGACTCAGTACAAGAAGATATATGACTGCTTAACTAAAACATGTTTTCATTCCCTAACATGGCAACAATGAAAGCTTGGATTTGGAGTCATGCTAGTTGAAATTATCCATCATAGGCATTTTGCAATCATAAAGTCTGGTTTTATTTTGGCCTTTTACCGAAAGGGATTTTGATTTCAATGTGTGTGACTAATTAATCTATTAATTAGTCCACCAATCCATTAATAGGACTAGATACTCATGTTGATACAGCTTAGAACCCTACTTTTCATTTCAACCTGTGTGACTAATCCATAATAGGACTAGATATTCATACTGATACAGCTAGAAGCCTAAATTTACATTTGTAAACATCTTTCAATATTTATTTAATTTGGAAATGGCCAAAATTATTTCAGAAAGTGCTTTGTCCAAAAGCGAAACAAAGAGACGGGAAACACAGTTGATCACTCATTCAGTACCTCTACTCCATTACCAGCAGTCTTTGGAGGTCTGACATTCTCAAATTCTAATTAGTGAGAATTCAGAAAAATAGGTTGTTCCATGGCTTCCTGAAAGTTTAAATTTCATATTAATTTATTTTGCCAGTCCTTCTACATTGCCTTGGCTAAAAATGGAAATGCAATATGAGCATAGAGGTCATCAGTAGCATAAAGAAATAATAAAAAACATATTTTTTAAACATAAATTTAATTTCAAGTTCCCTGACAGCAGGTTCCTTATTTGTAGGTTTTCTATTTTGAATAAGTTTGCTAAAATATGTTATTTTTTGATTACTCAAAAATTCAGTTTTATTCTTTTCCCCATAACTTAATTAAAGTGCATTTCTGTGACATTATTTCCATATTCCTATATTTTCCTTTGAGTTTTGCCTGTTAGGAGAACCAGTATCAAATGTACATAAAAATGAACGTTAGACTGAGTAAGATGTGATTTCTTTACCACGGCAGAGTTCTTCTACTCAAACCCACTTTAGTGGTTCTGGAACCATTGCATACTTTTTAAACAGCTGAAAAAAATTCGAAGAAAATTGAATGGCTTTCAAGTCTGCCTTTTTCCCAAGCAGACAGCTGATTTATGGTCACTTTTTGTAATAGCCTAGGGCATCAATTGGGAAAGAACATTAAAGAAATGTGAAAGTGGCTGTTTTAAGGGGTATTTGAGCTTTGCCCTACATATTCATGAAAGCCAGTGTTCACACATTCAAATTGGGTAGATGAGTGTACAGATGAGTATTTTTTTTAGCAGACACTTAACTATAACACTCTGAATAACAGTACCTCCATCTGCATTCCAGATAAGGATGCTATTGGTGAATTGTAAATGAAGTAATGGATATGGGAACATTGTTACATTCCGAGAAAAATAAGCTATTTGAATTTACTTCATTGTTATTTGTATTAAAGAGTTATTTGTTCATTTGCCTCAGAACAGAGAGAGAACAGTAAATTATTTGCATATCGGAACCACAATTTATACCTTCATGTGTACTGAGAATATTTTATGCCTATCAGAAAATGCTACGCATAGATGAGGTGCTTTGTATTCATTGTTGAGTAATTGGGCCTCACTGTCTTTCTTATTCATGTGCTGGAGGTAAAATTCATCCTCCACATACTGGATCTCAGCTTATTATTTTTATGTTTATTAAATAGTGAGCCATGAAATTGACATCTTTATGTCAATTGAGGCAACTTCATTGAGACAGTGGAAACAAGAATAAGATCTAGACAGCCTCTAAATTCCTCTTGCACCTTAATAGGATTGTTCATTAACTGAAATTGCCAATTTGATCTATTTCTTTACTGATTTGCTTTAATCAAATAGACCGCAATTTGGGAATCATATACCTATATACACATTACAAGTGGATTATTTTCTGCAGTTTTTCCTTCTGGTGAGAATTATGACTTCCCTTACCTCCTAGAAACTTCTTGCTCCATAGGTTATCAGGACACTGGGTTGGACCTTACTTGGGAATTTGTGATACTAATCCTGAATCCTGTTAAAATTTTTTTTTTTCAAGGAACCTCACCTAGTGATAAATATTTTCTGGAGAAACTATTAGATTCATTCATGAAAACCACACTTGAGAGCGCTCTCTCTTCCAAAGCAGCTTTGCATACAGAAAAGTATCAGCAAGAACAAGTGCCCATCAGTTAACCAAAGATATCATATTTCAGCCAGCACTGTCCTCGACCCACTAACTGTTGCTATCAATTCAGTCTAAATATCAGTCACAACAGTTAAATATTAGGCTAAATAATGTTATACAATGCTCATGTCATTGTCTGAGACAATTCTTTTGGCTTCGTATTTAGAGGTATAGCAGGATACACTGTTGCTGTTTAGAAATAAACTTTCAATTAAAATTTTAGAATAAATCGGGTTTATTTGTGGGTATCATATACTGACAATGAATATCCTATTTTACAATTGGAAATTGCTCTTTTCCTTACAAAACAGATTTGTCTTAATAGTATAGTTTTCTGTAAGCGTCTTCATTGGAATATATTAGTCTTCAGGAAAGCTGTTTATCATAAGGAATAAAGTCTTGGAATGTTATTCTTAGCAGGGATATAATATTACATACTGGGTTTATTCGTGCTTTCCTTGTATATTTTTACCACACAGATATGCAGTTAAGCTATATTTTTTAAAGTGACAGCAAATGCATATACAGAAAATTCCACCATTAATGATGTTGAAAAATAAAAGGCTTCCTATAAGTGAGAAAAAATAACAAACATACATCTGTGTTTCTCTAAATTCCCCCCAACCAAATGCTCCCTCTTTTTAATATCCCTGGGTATTAAATCACTTGGTCTACCTTCTTACCATTCATTAAGAACATTCTTTTGCCCCCGTCCTGACATATTTCTCAAACCCTACAAAATATTGGTGTTCAAATATAGAAAAGGATGGATTAAGTTTTACAGCCTTTATTTCTTGAATTCTGTTCAAATCATTTTCTTCCTAAAAGTATAGAGACTTAGATTTTAGTGCACATTTTCAACAAGAAGAGATGCTTACGATGTGCATGTACAGACCAGTCTGAATTAAGGAAGATCAGCATAGCAATTTCACCTGTGGGTGGTTAAATGCACAGTTAGAGACACTCATCTAAATGGACTGTTATGTAAAGCTAATGCTTCTGCTTGATCACGCTTCTGTCTTTTTCAGCAGGTTGTCTCTTTTCTCAAAAAGGTTATAAACATCAGGGAAAAGTATACTAAAGAATAGAATTGATTAATGTGACATATTTGAGTTTCTTTCTACCACTCTCTCAACAGCAAGTCATAGCAGCAGCTCCAAACACAGTGAATTAAATTTAAATTACACAGCTTTGGCTAGAAAATTGTGCAGTTAATTCAGCTTCTAAAGTGAAATTTGATTTTCTTCCCCTACACTTGAGCCACTTCCTGATTTTTCATACTGCGATGATGATTTTTGCCAAGCCATCTATTGATTTGAGGTCTTTTATTCTCAAGATTGTTGCTGGTTTTTAATTTCTGGAGGAAAAACATATATGAAAATCAAGAACGTATTTCATTATACCAGGGAAATTACATTAAAAAGTAAAATATAGTTTTACAAAAGGGTCGCATTTGTAGTTATTTTTTTCTACTGTAAGAGGGCTATAGGAAGTACCATTGTATGACATCTTTTGTTATTTTAGGAATTGTGTTTTGCAGAAGGTAACACTGAGAACATTCTCACACGTTCTGGTTAGTGTAGAATTGTTCCAAAAGAAAATAGGTCAGCTTTTAAAACAAAGCTTAACTTGTATTGCGTAAATAATTTAGTCTGCATGAAACACTACCCACTGAGTCACACAGTTGTAGCCCATGAATTTTTTTAAGAAGCAGTTTTTTAAGTTTATATTTGATGTTTGCCTTTTAAAAGGTCAAAGTTGGACAGTAAAAGATGGTACTTAGTTCAACAAAATACCAATGTAGCTACTGTATTTTGATACAAATTTTAACATGAGACCTCAAGAATAATTCATATGTACAAGTTTCGGTTTAATATCTATAATTATATTATTTGTAATTATAGTGCAAAAATTAAATTGGTATTACATTCATGAAATATTGAAAAAAGTTGATAATAATATTGAAAGTTTTAATAAACATTTACAGTGTTGTCCCCTTCTAGGTACTTTTCATGTACTAATTTCATCCTTGTAACAATAGATACTATTATGCTGTCCATATTTTTAGGAGAACAATAAGACAGAACTGTTTTTAAATGTTTTGAGCAGGGGTTCTCAACTTTGGCATTATTAACATTTCAGGTTAGATCATTCTTTGTTGTCTTCAAGCTGTCATGTGTATTTTATAATATTTAGGCATTGTGTGGTAGCTCATTCCTGTAATCCCAGCACTTCGGGAGGCTCAGGTAGGAGTATTGCTTGAGGCCAAGAGTTCTAGATCAGCCTGGGTAACACAGTGAGACTGAGCTGGAACCTTATCTCTACAAAAAAAAAAAAAAAAAGAAAAAAAAAAGAAAGAAAAAAGGAGAAGGAGAAGAGAGGAAGAGGAAAGAAAAGAATGTTTAGCAGTCAAAAAGAGACAATGATAGTAGCAGACCTCAGAATTCCAATTGTGACCTCAAATATTTCCACATATTACCAAACGTGCCTCCAGGTGGAGGAAGGAAAAGGTGGCAATATCACTGCTGATGTGAGAGCCATTGGTTTAAAGAATTTATTTATATCCTCCTCCCTCTAACAAGAATAAAACACCAATAGGAACAACACTATATTGATTTCATCAATATATTTAACATTCCTCAAAGAAAATGAGAAATTATCTGTAACCTTGAAATTAATTTGAAATTGAGAATAAAAGTAGCTTTCCGCTAGATGTTGGTCCGGGGGGAAAAAAACAAAAAGCTGATTATCTCCTCTGGAGGGAATTGGAGCAACTGACCGGCAAGACTACATAATTCAATAACACGTCATTATCAAGTCTGTTTGTATATTACCCAGCAAGATGTAGTTGTGCCAAAAGGAGAATGGGTCTTTGCTTTTAAAGCTTTCTTTTTAAAAAGATACCTACATGATTATCGTGCCAATTGCTAACGATCTTCACTGACATTAAGAGTTACATTGAGGCCTCTGTTCTATTCCATTGGTCTATATATCTGTTTTGGTACTGGTACCAGGCTGTTTTGGTTACTGTAGCCTTGTAGCATAGTTTTAAGTCAGGTAGCATGATGCCTCCAGCCTTGTTCTTTTTGCTTAGGATTGGCTTGGCTATATGGGCTCTTTTTTGGTTCCATATGAAATATAAAGTAGTTTTTTCTAGTTCTTTGAAGACCAGCTGATCTTTGACAAACCTGACAAAAACAAGGAATGAGGAAAGGATTCCCTATTTAATAAATGGTGTTGGGAAAACTGGCTAGACATATGCAGGAAACTGAAACCGGACCCCTTCCTTACACCTTATACAAAAATTAACTCAAGATGGATTAAAGACTTAAACGTAAGACCTAAAACCATAAAAAACCCTAGAAGAAAACCTAGGCAATACCATTTAGGACACAGGCATGGGCAAAGACTTGATGACTAAAACACAAAAAGCAGTGGCAACAAAAGCCAAAATTGACAAATGGGATCTAATTAAAGAGCTTCTGCCCAGCAAAAGAAACTATCATCAGAATGGACAGGCAACCTACAGAATGGGAGGAAATTTTTGCAATCTATCTGTCTGACAAAGGTCTAATATCCAGAGTCTACAAGGAACTTAAACAAATTTACAAGAAAAAAACAAAACAACCCCATCAAAAAGTGGGTGAAGTATATGAACATACACTTTTCAAAAGAAGACATTTATACGGCCAACACACATATGAAAAAAAGCTCATCATCACTGGTCATCAGAGCAATGCAAATCAAAACCACAATGAGATACCATCTCATGCCAGTTAGAATGGCAATCATTAAAAAGTCAGGAAGCAACAGATGCTGGAGGATGTGGAGAATAGGAATGCTTTTACACTGTTGGTGGGAGTGTAAATTAGTTCAACCATTGTGGAAGACAGTGTGGTGATTCCTCAAGGATCTAGAACCAGAAATACCATTTGACCCAGCAATCCCATTACTGGGTATATACCCAAAGGATTATAAATCATTTTACTATAAAGACACATGTACATGTATATTTCTTGCCACACTATTCACAATAGCAAAGACTTGGAACCAACCCAAATGCTCATCAATGATAGACTGGATATAGAAAATGTGGCACATATACACCATGGAATACTATGCAGCCATAAAAAAGGATGAGTTCATGTCCCTTGTAGGGACATGGATGAAGCTGGAAACCACCATTCTCAGCAAACTATCAGAGGAACTGAAAATCAAACACTGCATATTCTCACTCATAAGTGGGAGTTGAACAATGAGAACACATGGACACAGGCAGGGGAACATCACACACTTGGGCCTGTTGGAGGGTGGGGGTCTAGGGGAGGTATAGCATTAGGAGAAATACCTAATGTAGATGACAGGTTGATGGGTGCAGCAAACCACCATGGCACGTGTATACATATGTAACCTGCATATGCTGCACATGTATCCTGGAACTAAAAGTATAATAAAAAAAAAAAAAGAGAAAACCCCCACAAATTATCAAATACCAGGAATGAAAGGGGAGTTAGCACTACAAATGCCACAAACATTGAAGAATAAAAAGTGAGAATATTATGAATAACTTTGTCAATAAATTCAACAGTTAAAAAAAAAGACTTACACTTCCAGGCAAACCAATATTTTCACCTTCCCTTTCTAAAATAGCAGCAGCAAAATGCATGAATCCAGAAACTCTCCCAATTGTCTCAGAAGAAGTAAGAGCAGAGTAACATGAAACCATCTCCAATGCTATTTAAAGGTTTGTGTTTATTTAAAGTTATATTGTAAAGCATTCGCATCTGAACAAATTCTTTGTTCTTAAAGACTCTGCACTTGAAAGATTTTTAAGCCTAATACTTTCTATAAAAGTTCATCACCCCTCGTCTCCATTTTTCAAAATGCCACAACTTTCTTAAAAATTTAGTTATACTTTAATCTGTGACAATATTAGGTGCTCCTTTAATATTAGGTGCTCATATCGTATTTTTGCTTTTTCTTTGAAGTAAGACCTATGTTATTTTAATTCCACTTTTAAATGAGAACTGTATCAATGTTGCAATTCTGAGAATTGTTTGAACAATTCTAATCTCTTTAGTCCTTAGTAGATGTAATGAGATATTTTTATTTATTTGTATACATTGGATTCTCTGTTTTACCTTAGCAGAGCCAACTCTGATGGAAGCCTTTACAGATTCCATGCAATATCTATGCTGAATTTACTGCAGCTTGTCAGTGGCAATAAAGAACAACTTTTCGTGCTTATCAGTGTGTTGATTATGTGACTAACTGCTAGGATTTATGGACTCTGCTTTTTATTACAGAGATAGGTATCTTTTTTGCTGTAAGCGCAATGAAGCAACTAGAATGTCACAGAGAAAACTGCCACCTCTTCCCCTCCCCCACTTTGAATACACTTTTCATTTATTATGAAACCATAATGATGAAAGGGATGATGAGGAAGCAATACCTGCTATCTGAACATTACAAAAATGAGCTTCAAGTGTGAAATCATAATGAAAATGAAAGTGTCTTAAATGGATTGTATTTCCTTGCCTTTTTGCACCAATGAAAGAGCTATCTAATTCTCTACTTAATCTGTGTTTCCTCCAATAACAAGCTATATCTCAAAGATTCATCAAACTCTACATAGTCGTGAGTGTAAAAGGTTATGGCTTTTCTGCTTTTAGGAAGCCAAGCACAAGTACTACATAAAGCCCACTGATGCATACATTGTAGCACTCCAGGCTGTAATAAATTTCAAATCATCTGTTTCTGCCAGGTTGTTTTAAACCTCTGTATGATACTGTGTGCAGCTTCTATCTGCATTTGAGTGGATGGGTATCTACAAGTTGGCTGTCACCATTTCTGCGTCCTCATGTAAACTAAAGTGTAATCAAGTTTTCACAAATAGGCAGTTACTTCTATGAAGGATCTAAAATGTAAGCTCTGTGTCTTTAGAAAGGGAAATAGTGAATTTGGTTTCTTGATAAACAAATTGTATTTCACTTGTCAATGAGACAAAGATGAGAGAATCTGTTAGGACCCTTTAAATTAATCTACTGAATGTGATTCTTTTGCAGACCACAGATGACATCCTTGTGGCCTCAGCAGAGTGTCCCAGCGATGATGAGGACATTGACCCCTGTGAGCCGAGCTCAGGTGGGTTAGGTTAGTCAACTTTTTTTCTTACTTCCTTGGCTTTACTGTAAATCTTTGTTGCATGTTATATTCCTTAGAAGGGCCTTATATTCATGTATAGAAGGCTACCCTCCTATACCATCGTTGATTGTGAGATGAGGACTCTTATTTTTTACATAAATTTTTCCACATTTATTGAAAAAATTAAAAACAAAACATGCCAAGATTATGTATTTCAGAAAAAGCAGTGGGTATAGCACACAGGGCTTCTACCTTACTGTTCACTTTCCATTAGCTCACAACATAATTTTTGTGTGTAACAATATAATGAGCTTTCCCTTGGGTCACTTATAGTAAAATTATAAAGCTAAAAATTTGCAGCACATTGTGCAAAATTATTTGACCTTTCTACTGACAAAAAGTCCCCACCACTCACTCTGCCAGCAAATTACCTTAAGTGATATATTTCTGAATTTCGGAAGTGAGAGTATTATAGCAGTAGTAAAACAAACAGCAGGTAGACTCGTTGATATCTTTAATAGAGAAATATTTGAGTCTTGCCATGTTTCCCTAAAATTCAAGCTGAAACATTTTACTTCTTTATGATATGTTTGCATCTTCTGATGTGACTAACGTAAATACTGTTACCATACAGCCCTTATACCATTAAGTGGTGGCTGTAGACCCCTGAAAAATGAATGAATTCATAGCCTAGATTTGATTCCAAATATTCATAACTTCAAGTGTTAGGCTCATTTCCATTAGTTTTGTTTTGGTTTGGTTTGGTTTTTGGTAAAGCAGTATTTAAATTCAATAATGTTCTTTGCTGGTCATAGTGGCTCACGCCTGTAATTCCAGCACTTTGGGAACCTGAGTCAGGCAGATCACTTGCGGTCAGGAGTTTGAGACCACCCTGGCCAACATGCCAAAACCCTGTCCCTGCCAAAAATAGAAAAATCAGCCAGGTGTGGTGCTGTGCACCTGTAATCCCAGCTACTCAGGAGGCTGAGGCAGGAGAATCACTTGAATCTTGGAGGCAGAGGTTGCAGTCAGCCAAGATCACGCCACTGCACTTCAGCCTGGGTGACAGAGTGGGATTTTGTCTCAAAATAATAATAAAATAATAATAATAATAATAATAATATTGTTTGCATTAACAAAATGAGTGAGGTGGATATGGACTAACCACTATCTGCTAGTGGTGTCTATTGACATCACCTAGAATCCCAGGAGAATTTCATGTCACAAGAAAGTAATGAATTTGCATTCTTGTGAAGAATACCATTTTAGAGTAAATCCGCTCTTTAGAGCAAATCGGGATGTATGTCGTGCATCTCGTTTTGAATATTTGAATATCACTTCCCCCACTGATTGTAACCACTGACTGTAGCGCTTAGAGAGCAGCTGCTGAGTGCCAGGGAGGGGGAAGAGCTCGGCAGTCACCTCGCAACAGGACAGGGCGTGGGAGACCAGGCTGGGTATGCTCTGGTCCTCTTTCCTCTTGGCTCCACAGTGCCAGTCAGGACTCTCAGCTCCCAGAAACATCTATCATTCACAATGATCAGCTCTGTCACGATCATCCATTCCATTCTCCCAGCTCATTGGCCTCTGCAATCATTCCCTCTTGGTTGTCGTGACAGATAAAGTCACATCATGGCACTATCCTAGGCCCCTTTACTAAGATCTTGCCTTGGTTTTCATTGGTATGCTTAATCTGTTAGTTAGCAACAACAACAACAAAAAAAGTCATTGCTATTGCTTTTCTGTCATTATATCAGTCCCATCTCTGCATTTTCCCACCCTCAAATTTCCCTTCCCCATTTCTTCTACGCTCACATGCCCAACCTTCCTGGTGTTAATCTTTTGCACCAGGACATTCTTTTTTCTATCTCATCTTCTCTGACATCCTCTAGCATGAGTTATCCATGTAACAAAGTCTGGTCTTTGTATATTGGGGTGTGTGTTATTTATAGTTGATTTTGTTTTCTCAATTAGTGTTTTCTTCAGGGTAATCCATTTTTCAGTATTTTACACAGTATTAATACAGCGATGAAAACTGTTGAAGTTCTTACTAATTACAGGACTTGCTGAATCCCTCTTTTACTGTCTAAGTATAGGCTATCATACTCTTGTTGCAGAATCCTTACCTTGAGTACCTAGTGAATCACAGTAACTAATTGCACTTAAAATTGTCACTTTTTCTTCGTGAGCTCAGCTGAATGATCCAGTTCTTCGAGCCATTGCTTATAGGTCTGATTAACCATTCCTTATGGACTAGTTTACTGTCTGTCTTTTGCTCTGGTGACACTAGACCTAAGAACAAGATGGTGGAGGAAGAAGGTAGAGGAGAGGAGAGAAAAGGCGGATGGGGTAACCCTTTTGCCATCGTCTTCTGCTTGTTCACCCGATTTTTGTCTGCTTTGTTAAATATCATAGCACAATGAAAAGTGAGTAGCAGCTTATTAATTGCCATACTCCAGGGAATCTTTCTACCTTTGTTTTCTTTACCACACTATCACTATCTGAAACAATCATGTTTACGTATTTGTTTTTCATTCATTAATGTATAGCTTGAATCTCCCCACAAGGTAAATTCCATGAAGCAGGAACCCTGTTTTTCTTGCTGCCTGCATGGACTTGTTCTGTCAATTTTAGTTCTGTTCTACTGCACCAAAGTCTGTTACCCAAAATACAAAACACACCAGCTACTGATTCTATCTAACGACAGCTACTTTAACACTCTTGTACCAAGCCTAGTTTAACTTTTTCTCCTCTCTTTCAGTTTGTCCCTCCTCACTCTTCAGTTTTCAATTCATCAATTCCTGTTAAAACAAGAACTTCAGATTATTTTGTGTTAATGGGATCATTCACTGTAAACCTGTCCTCTGATCTTATCTCCCCCGGTCTTGATAATATATGCCATAAATTGTTTCACTTTCGATTTCTGATGTTAAATCTCTTTCTACATTAGCTTTTTCTGTCCACCTCCCTATTACTTTTTTTCTCAAGCCTGTCTTTAATGCTTCATATGAAGGTGGCTCTTTGGGCAGAAATTGGTTTTATTTATGTGATAGCTTCTAATGAAATTCTTAGTTTATATGATGTTTTCCTATTTTCCAACTTTTTTCTTGGAATATGGGTTGTGTTTTTCTGTTTGTTTTTGTTTTGAATCCTGTTTAAGTCTGAATAATGTTTCATCATGGGCTGCCCCTCCTGCAGGTCATTGTTTCCTAATGTACTGGTTTTCTTAAATTTCTTTTTCCTGCTTGCAATCCATCTTGAATGCAAACATAAAATAATATAACAATAATTGTAGCTGCTGCTGTTATTAGACATTGGATAATTCTAGCTGCTGCTATTAGATGTTAGAAATACTTAAATAAAAATTATTTCACATATTAGGCTATATTTTGGGATACTGGCTTTTTATAAAACTAACATATTGAGGTAAATATTCTGAAACAGATGTATCTTCTATGCACATTTGCTAGTCCTTGGGCAAGTGAGAGCAAATCTTTGTAAGGAGATGCACCATTACCTTTATAGATGCGTTGCCCAAATCTTCTGAGTACCTCACTCTCCCTAAGTATTTACTCATGAGTTTTCTAATCACTCTGACCCTCCCCCACCTTCAAAAAATGGCTTTTTCTCTGAAAATGTCCTATGTTCCTTATTTAGGTACCTTCCTAAAGCTGTTAATGGAAGAAACAGGAAAAATCTAGCATCATCTTGAGTACTAGTAAATTATTCCTTTTATCAAATGTTTGATAAATTGGAATTACCTGTGGTTCCATTCAGAACTCTTAATGAACAGGGAAGTTATATATTTGGTGGGTTATCAGCTTCAACATTGATCAGGTATTGAGTGTCACTATATACCTACTGCTCTGCTAAGCTCTGGGAGCAAAAATAGAAAGTTTATACCTTCAGTTCTATATTAATTAATATATTGAAGACATTTATTGCAATGTCTGGCATAATGTAGAACATAAATGGTGGCTTTTTCCCCCAATTCAGTTATACAAAAAGAATATTCCAAGCTATTTTCCCTTTTACATAATGCTGTTACTTTTCCTGGCTGAAAATTGGTGGGCAACTGATGAAACCACTCAGGCCTCCTGATGGGAACTGTGCATGTTAAAACTAGATCAGGGTCAACATCCTGGGTGGGAACACATGGAACTCAATTATACTTGATTTTAGCCACACTGTCCTGCACAGTTAGCATTGGATGATAACTTCACATTGATATGATCAGTTTCAGAATACAAAAGGATGGCTTCAGAATACAAAATGTTGGCTATGTGATGGAGGAGGGCTAATTGAACCCCAGCTCTTAGTGAACAGGTAGAAACCTGAACCAGCTATTGGTAACAATGTTACAGGCCAGTGTTGTCCTAAAGTGCCCAGTTTAAGAAGCGTAGACACATGAGAGATAGATAACATTTTTTTCATAATTTTTCTCAAAAAACGTTTACAGCTTCCGTGATTTTTCTCAGCCTAGAGAAAAAAATTGTGATTGCTGGAGTTATTGCTCCAGCATAGTTATTGCTATGTGATTGCTGGAGTTAATATATGAAAAGTATGTTATAGAAAAAATGTTTTGCTCAAAATAAGTGCTATATGAGTGTTTCCTGTTATTAGTATTTGTTATTTTTATACACACACGCACATATTTTCCAAGACTTTGTTTTTCACACAAATATAAGTTTTTATAAAATGTCTTTGAAATTTTACATTTTAGATCCACTTAGTAAATTGACAAAATGGCAACACTGCAAAACCACTTAAGTTCCAAGAAGGTCTTTAATCATGTCAGTATCTCTTAGTTTGGGGGCCCTCTTCCAAATAGAACCCTTTCTGAAAACTCCTGAAGAAGTTTTAAAAAGGTGAGTTTTATGTTGATATTCAAGATCCTAAATGAAGATAAAGACCCTCTTTGCTGTAGTAGCTCCCTAATAAATAACTCTAATTTATCATTTGTTACAAAGGGAACCAGACCTGCCTCCTGTTTTCTGGAGCCCTGTTTAGGAAGGACAATTTCCTGTTAGATTTACAGTGCTAAGAATAATACGTCAATTCTCTGTGAGTGGTTAGGGGATGGATAGCTAATGGGATATTAGGCCACTCTCAAATCAATTAAACTTTTGTAAAACTAGGAAAAGAAGAGTTCCATTGAATAATAAAATATCTCATTAGTCATTGGGGGAAGAAAAGGATCACCCATTTTTGTGGCATCTCTTTAGCTGGAACACAGGAGGTGAGGTCATCAGTACAACCACTCAAAAGACAACTGTTGATTGCCTATCAGAGGAATCATGTTGATCAAGGTTCAGATTACATAAGCAATGATAAATAGCAATAATAACTAGTATTTGGTGAAGATTTATTCTGCGCTCCATCATTGTTCTTAGTCCTTTACAAACATTATTCTATCTCATTATTTTATGAAACTATGAAGCATTTTCATAGCTAAAGAGATTCAGAGAGATTAAGTTATGTCATGTAATATGAGAGAGCTGGTGTATTCTCTAGTTTAGAAAAGGTGGGCTTATAGTTTCTTGGAACACAGAAGGTTTTTCCTCTAAAATTCAGGCACCTCACAAATATAGAATCGATTTTTCAAAAGTTCATTTAAATAATTTCATGTCATATTCTTTACATGTATTACTATTAAGCTAAATTTGTTGCAATTACCATGCAATTTTCAGTGGTTTTTCAGTGTGCTATTTTGAGAAAAGGTCAAGGGATTTCTATTCAATTGATACCATTAAACACATTAGGAATAAAGATATGTATATTGAACAAGGTGCACCTTTTCATTAAATAAGTCATCACAATCATTTCAAGGACTGTCTTGCTGGGTCATATTTTTAGAGCTTGATTAGAAAATAATTTTGTTCTACATTTAAATGTGTGTTATTTATTATGTAATTATTCAAAAGTGACTTTAATTAGTCCGTAATAGCCAACACATTGCTGTCAAAATGGAGGATTTTGAGCTGCAGCCAGAAAAACAGTAGCAATGAGTGTTCCATTTGAGGGAACATCGAGAGCATCTCCTGTGTACCAGGCTAGAATCAGCGCTGAGGGCCCAGCTCATCATTCAGGTGCGGGATGGGGCAGCTGGAGTTGGAAACTGATGTGCTAGCTGGGTTTCAGTGTGCAACGTGCTGGTGTAGGAAATGTTTTTTCCATATAAATTTAATTGTCCAGAACACTGGAATAAAAATAAGTAGTACATGGTTAAAGTAGAAGAGATTTATCACACATCATTTTTACTCACTTTTCCCCTGCTTTTCTGAAGGCAGTAATGTCAGAATAAAAATTATATTGAACAAAGTTAAACAGGCAAGGAAGATTTAGTCAAGGCTATTGCAATAGGAGAGGTGGGCCAGATTTCAGCCCGAGGGCAACTCACTGAAAACAAACAAACAAAAAAGGCTGGAGGGTATTTAAGTGCTGGGATGGATGGATTTGGGACCAACTGTGCTTGCAAATGGGCTTCACCCAAAGGAAATGTAAACAAACTATCTCATGTTTTCATGACAGGGGGATAGTTTTACAGTTTGGAGCATGGAGCCCACTAAAGTTAGGCTCCCACCCTTTCCACAGAAATTAGGAGATAGGGGCGCTATCTTCTCTGATGTTTATATTACGAAGAGATGGCTCCCAAGTCCTCCATATTTACACATCAAAGGGACAGATAAAGTATTTGAAATTACAAATGCCCTAAGAAATGGAAGGCCAGGGGCCCAGAGGCAGGAAGAAGCCTATCTTTGTTTGGTCAACTTGACATCAACTTTCCCAGCAACCAGTTTTTATTCAACAAAATTAGTTTCTACTAGGAGTTCAGCAGAAAACAAAATCACAAGCAAAAGGTATTTCATATGTGTGTGTGTGTGTGTGTGTGTGTACATATGTTTTTTGTTTTGTTTTTTAGAATATAGCAATTTGTATTTAATTGAACTATTTTGACCCTTTTCTGAGGTTTGAACTTTTTTTTTTTTTTAACAATATAATGGTTGCTACACTTTAGAAAAGCTCTTAACAACATTTTAAAAGAACTGTGACATGCCACCAGAAATGAATATTAGTTATGGCAAGGACTTTGGAATTATATAGAACTAATTTGAGACGCAGCCCTTTCCTGGTCTTGGGAAATTTACTTAGTAGTTTTGATGCTCAGTTTCCTAGTCTGTAAAATGGGGAGAATACGGTTAATTATGAGATTGGAAAAAGAGGATTCATACACAATGCTTGGCAGAGTGTCTGGAACATACCACATACTAAGGGTTTAACAAATAATTATCACACATCCAATGACAGGTGGAGGACCCACTGCTACTAGCACTGGTTATGTGCCAATGGAGGCATTATTCTGCCTTGTAGTGAGGTCGCTCATAAGGCATTATGCATTTGATCTGAGTAAAAAATCAGCACAGTCTCTTTAGGTATTAGACAGAGTGGGTTCTGTTAAAATGTTTTAACTAACATATGATTGGCCACTTATAATAATTACTTAGCATATAAGTGAGTTTGCTAAGTGAGATTAAGCATTTACTTGAAGTCTGTAAAAAATAGATGGCTGCTGATACAGAAACCTCCTACAATAAGCAACAGAAAACTCTGTTCAGTAGTGAGTACAGCATAAGTTTTTAGGCAGCCTGTATGTATCCAGCCTTAGAGCATTAATAATCGGTTTCACATCACAATTTTTTATTGGAAGATGCTAAAATATAATAGCCTTTTAACAGTATGGCACATGTCCTGTTGAGCTTTGGAAGAAGATAACAAGATGCACATCCATGCTCTGAAATATTTAACCACCTTGAAGGGAGGAATGTAGCACAGGTTTAGAAAAATATAAGGTAAGTTTACCTCTTATGAAAACATGAAATCCAGGAAGGATAAAGTCACGTTGTCTTGTAATTTGTGTCAAATACCTGTTTTGATAATGAAATTGGCTTCCTGTGGCGTTCTCTTGGTACCTCATTAATTACATTTGCTCAGATGATATCAGAGGTAAGCCAGCAAGCATATTCTGAATTCCAATCTAGAGGACATGCTGCCTCCATGAGGAGCCAATATGCTTTCATTGTTGGCACATATGCTCCAAGGGGCAGCAAATGCTACATTTGGCTTTAGCCTTCAGCTCTCATCTCAACACAGTAACTTGTCGATTAGATCACTCTCATCATGAGTTACTCCTTACTCATAAACAAAATGTTATAAGAAGCCTGACACTGGCAATATAATAGCAAAGACCAGAATACTTTACATTTCCAGGTTAAAAATGGTGTATTAAAGATGCCAGTATAGCCAGAGGCCATTAATTACATTAAAAAAAAATAGGAGAAAGAAAAATACTGACGTTGTCACATCTAAGAGCACACTAAAATATTTTGTTTTATTGAGTAAACTTGAGAAATCCCAATGCCTGTGTTCAAATCTCAATTTGGCCACCTACTGTGTAATTAGAGGCAAGTCATTGAATCTCTGTGTACTCAGCTTTTTACATCTGCAAAATGAAAGGAATAATGTTCAATACTCATGACATTGCTGTACTGATAAAAATGAGACAATGCATCTAAAGCACTTAACATAGTCTACCACAGGAAAGCTTTGATAACATAAATTAGCTTTTATTAGTAGTAGTAGCAAACTAACTAAATAGTAAACCATATCATAAATGGAAATATCCCCAAACAAGAAAGGGAAATGTTAATGATGGATACTTCAGCATCTAGCAAGTTTTTCAAAGTATTTCTAAATTCTATCAGCATAAAACTTTTCTCAGTGACCACTAAGACAGGAGCAGTGCTTTAGCTGGATAAATTTAGGTTCCTATGGTAGGAGGAGGGCACGTATCATCTGCTCTTCTTACTTTATTTTTGGAGGGAAAAAAATTGGGCTTTTTATACTAAACAAAAAGAGAGAGAGAGAGAAAGGGAGAGTGCTTTCGAGAGAAGAAATGATTAACTTTCCTGCTTCCTTCCTAAGACACTCAGGAATACTCCCAGCAGCATGACTTACCAGGCACACCTACCCACACAGCCTCCCCACCATGATGGATGCCTTGTCTTTCGTATTTCCTAATGCTAGACTTGACACACTTCCCTCTAATGGGCTCAGAGGGGAAGTTATCTAATCTTTCACCTTAGCTATTGCATTTTCACCAAAAAGAATCTGATCTTTTTCCCAACAAAAGAAAATTGAGACAGAAATAGCCTCATGACAGCAATATAAAGATGATCACCCAAAGCAAAGAGACCCAATTCTAAATCAGGAAAATTGTACACTGCCCCATTACACAGAATGACTCAGGTTTATATAGATGCTGTGCGGGCACCCTGGTGGAGGGGTGGGTGCACCTAGGACCCAGCATGCACCTCTGCAGTGGAAAGTCTCCTTTGGATTTCATCCGGAGTACACTGTGCAATTCCAGAGCAGGGAAGGAAGTGGGGGAAAATTGACTTAACAATTTTAGAAAGAAACAATGAAACCTAATCAAAGGAGTTTTTACCAACATAATAAGCCTTGCTGTCAGCTATTTATTACCAAAGAATAGTCTTAGATGATTGATTTTATGACACCTAAAACATAAAATATCATAATAAAATTTTGAAAGAGAGAGAAATGTAATTCACTCCAACCATAGGAGCCAGAGAGCACTGATCCATTAAAGATAGAATGTCTCACAGAAAAACAGAAACAAGCTCCACATGCAGCACCACAGTTAATGGCCTGAAACAACATGCCCTACAATGCAAAGGACCATTTTTGCCACCTGAATTCACAAGGCCTCTTTTCATGAAAGGGAAGTCCTCAAATACAACTACTCCCGGGGAGATAATGTCCTTGATGGTCACTGCCACAGCTGATTGAGACACTGTGTGCAGTGCATATTGCAAAACTGTATAATTGTTGGGACAGCTGCTGATTCAGTACCTTCTGTGTGGAAGATGTAGAGAAAACAATCAGATAATCACTGTTTTTACAAAGTCCTCATCCTCCTCAGATACTTTCATACTGAATGCCCTACCTGATCTGATGCCCACAGTAACCCCTGGGATATAAATAATTTATGTGTCATTATCATGGTTTCTGATAAAGGAATGTTAGCAGAGGATAATGAACTGCAAACTGTCACTCAAAAAGTTAAGGACAGGACCTAGACTAGAACCTAATGCATAATTCGATATTCTTTTTACCACTCTTCACTGCTTTTCTAAGATTCTGTGGGAATGTTAACTCCCACAGCAAAGGACAGAGAGTTGGCAGCAGGTGAAGAGGAATGTGGCTGGAAGGGCTAGAACTGGGCAACTGCTTAGAAAATATACCTAAAGCCCGGGTGCAGTGGCTCACACCTGTAATCCCAGCACTTTGGGAGGCCGAGGCGGGCGGATCATGAGATCAGGAGATCGAGACCATCCTGGCTAACACGGTGAAACCCCTTCTCTACCAAAAATTCAAAAAATTAGCCGGGCGTGGTGGCAGGTGCGTGTAGTCCCAGCTACTTGGGAGGCTGAGGCAGGAGAATGGCGTGAATCTGGGAGGCAGAGCTTGCAGTGAGCTGAGACCGCGCCACTGTGCTCCAGCCTGGGCGACAGAGCAAGACTCTGTCTCAAACAAAAACAAAAACAAAAATAAACAAACAAAAAAAGAAAATACACCTAAAGTGCTAAGTGTTTTTACACTTAACACAGGAATAAAATCAGAAGCAATAACAAATTGATCCACAGTGATAAATGCAGACACACTGAGTATATAAAATATTAGTAGCCATAGACAGACCTGAGTTTGAATTTTGGCTGTGCCATTTATAAAGTCTAAATAGGCTAAGCTCTTTGAGACTTAGTTTTCTTTCCTGTAATGATAATACCTACACCACATAGTGTTATGAGAAATAAATTAGATGAAATTTATGTGTAAAATGTATAGCACAGCAATTACCATATAATAATAGTAAAAATAATAGCTGTTAACTACATAAAATAAGAAACAAAATATAGATGTTACAGGGAAGTCATAGTAGCTCTGTTAAGCATAAGTTGACAATTGAGTAATGTTAAAATATATGGAAGAATGTAAGAAAGAAGGTTTTGATGAGGGTTTTGATTACTTAGTTAAGTAAGTTTACCCCCAAGTTATTGCTAAAGGTTTCCTGGAACTATTTAATAGCTTGGCTTTACCTATTAATTTGGAAAGGAGGAAGGAAAGGAAAGGAGAAAGGAGAAAGAAAGGTGAAAGGGGAAAAGGAAAAGGAAAGCGAAAAGGAAAGGAAAGGATAAGAAGAATGACTTCAGCATTTTCTTTAATTGGGTTCTCTATTGCCCAGCAGGAGTGTAGTGCTGCAGTTATGGCTCACTGCACCCCCAAACTGCTGGGCTCAAGTGATCCTCCCACCTCAGCCTCCCCAGAAGCTGAGACTACAGGCATGCGCCACCATGCCAGGCTAATTTTTTTACATTTTCTGTAGAGACAGAGTCTCCTCCCTTTGTTGCCCAGGCTAGTCTGGAACTCTTGGCTTCAAGCAATACTCCTCTCTCAGCCTCCCAAAGCACTGGGATTACAGGCATGAATTACCATGCCCAGCAAACTCAGCAACTTCTGAGAGAGAATTGGAAGGAATGCTGCAATATTCACATGCACACACATTCACACACATGCACACACATACTCCTCATTACTCTAGCTATAATGTTGCCATTTTTGTCTTACTATAAACCAGGTTTTCCAAAAATTTCTAGTTTCAGGCCTTAAGAATTCTGTGGAATAAATCTCATTATTTTGTAAAGATAGATTATTCAATTATCTATATATAAAAAAGGAAATGGATCTTAAGAAAAGTGATTTCTGGATGTATATATTTTTGGGTGTTGTAGTCAATGAGCTCCCAGGAAGAGAAGCTATTTTGGTATCAAGAAGCTCAGTTGAGTTGAAATCAGTTAATAAGGAGTATCATCCACATTTCAAAATATAACTCTTCTTGCATTTTTCTGGAATGTAATACATTTTGAGGAAAAACATATACAGACTCTCTGGGGTCCCTAGTTTTGAAACTGATTTTCTCAATTATTGCCTATATGGCTTTCTTCTGCTTGACAATTATGGAAAGTTGGGCCTGAGTAAAGAGACCCTTTTCAATTCCAATAGCAACAGGACTGAAAAGCACCCTAGAAATTTCTACAACTACTCTGAATTGAAAAAAGAGCTCAAGTTAGCTGTCAACTATTTGCAGTACTGTGGGTGTCAGATGATGTTGATGTAAATAAGGCATCCAAATGAATCAAACTGATGACTCAGTTAACTTTAAATAGCTTAGTGACTTTAGTCATTGGGATTAAGTGACATATTACCTTGAAGCATAGGGAAAGCAAATGCAGTATTTTCATTATTGTATATTGATCCCAATTCTCCAAAGCACAGAAGAAGTGATTTCTGATTTAATGAAGTAAATATTACATTTATCGTTTTTACTGCAGATATTACAAAGGTTGAGGGTTAGAGAAGTAGTGAGTTAAAGAAATATGAGATGTTAATGTCAGTGTTCAACCCCCTTGCTTAGCACCTTTACTCAAAACTTTAAAATCAAAGGTCTCTCACTTTCTTGCTCTGTCTCCCAGGCTGGAGGGCAGTGACATGATCGTGGCTCACTCTATTCTTAAACTCCTGGGCTCAAATGGTCCTCCCACCTCGGACTCGAGTAGCTAGGACTACAGGTGTGCACCACTATGCCCAACTAATATTTGTTTTAATTTTTTCTAGAGACAGTATCTTGTTCTTTTTCCCAGGCTGGTCTTGAACACCTGGCTTCAGCCTCTCAAAGTGCTGCGACTGCAGGTGTGAGCCACACAGTTCTTGGCTTTCACACTTTCACACTTTCTTAATGATTAGATTCAACCTAGTTTACCCTTGAAAATTTATCAAGTTACAAAAGCTTTCATCTAACTATACATAAAACATGCAGTTTTCAGCCAGTGTGTTCAATCTTCATTAGAGTTTGGAAGGTGAGAGAACTAATAAGAAAGAGAAACAGAGTCACAGGAAACTGTCAAAGGACCAACAGTCTAGTTGAAAAAAGACAAAACTATTGGATGAAACATTTAAGTGAGATTTTACAATAGTATAGAATTAATGTTAAAATTTGTGATGTGATATACGGTTGAGAGAATTTATTTATTTTAAAAAATTTAATAGATGTTATTGGATTACTTTCTAATAACAATCAAATAATTATTAAGAATATTCTCACCAGCATTGAGATCTCTTCTCCACTTGCTTGTGTGTAGTTTTCTCCATACTTCTGTTAGGTTGTTTGTCTTTTTTCCTATCAGTTGACACACACTCTGTATTTTAGAGGTATTTACTCTTGGTCCGTCATATGTACTACAGATATTTCCCTCCTTTGTCATTTTCATTTTGTTAATGATATTATGGCTTTTGCCACATAAAATTGTTATTTATGGGGTTAAATACGCTCATCTTTTTATTATGACTTTATTCCATAGTCTACAGTCTCTGTGATAAATTTCATGTCCACCTTGAAATTTCTTCTCACTCTCCCTTAAATCTCACTGTGCTACAACCACTCTAACTGTTGTTTAATTCCTGAAAAGTAAACTTTGTTTCCTCAAGGTCATTCGACATGTTTTTCGTAGACTTCTCTACCCACTTTCACTTGACGACTCTCTACTCATTTTTATCATAAGTGTCACTAATTCAGAAAGATCTGATTCTGCAGTTGCAATCAGAAACCTTTGTCCTACTCCTGCATGGTACCTACAGTTTTCCTTCATCATGCATATCCCAGCTGTTACTTTAACTGTGTGATTCCTTCTTGTATGCCTCTCTGCCTCACTATATTTTAAGGTCCATGAGGACATATACATCAAGTTTGTTTCGTTATCTCCTATACCCTCAGGACCTCATATAGTCCCTGGAATGTTAACTATAGCTCATTATATACTCGTTGATAGAAGGAGGGGATTTTCTTAGAGAAAAAAAATCATAAAAGATGGGACATTTGAGCCAAGCTTCGAGAAATAAGTACTATTTAAACAGGCAGGAGATAAAAGGTTATATGAGCAAGGCATAAAGGTTGAACTCTTTTTGGTATGTGAGGAGTTGGGGACAGCAATAATATTATGGCTCTAACTTCCTTTGACAAATATGGAAGACAAATTGGAGTAGGTAGCTGTGAACAGACTATGAATGGCCATGGGAACAGTAAGGACCATGGTGCTGGAGTAAGCACCATAATAGATGCAAACCACAAGGATACAATGACTATGTAAAAAGTCTATGAAGCTTATAGATGACTAAGCTGTGGACATATAGTTTACAACATAGTGAATAATTGAAGAATAAGATTTGTAAATACCATGATCCTATGGCTTCCCCTGGAGATGAGGGAGATTGTGCATGTTCCTCTGTTTATTTGTCTTCAGTGTCACCAAGGTCATACAGAGTGTGGACATCCATTGTCTCTTCTGTTCGATGTGGTACCATATGAGGTAGCAGCCTGTCCTAGTTGGGTTTCTCCATCATGCAGGCACATGATGAGTTTTTCCGTGTCTAGCATCCCTTCCCATTCAATACCTAGATCTCTGGAGAAGATAATGAACGTCTCAATATCAGAGTGGTGGCCCCTTAACTGCCCTTCAAATGCATGCTTTGGTGGTTTTGAAAGAAGCAGAGGAAAATATCGGAGACAGCAGCCAGGCAGGTAGCAAAGGTTTATTGATTTCCAAGTTCTTTCTAAATCTCCGATGTATTGGGGAAGGGCTAAGATGTGTCAGACATGTCCTCTCTCAAGACTTGTCTGACCTCCGTAAGTGTACTTCAGAATGTGCAGGCATGGGTGGAATTGGTGGGAGGGAGAAGGGAAGGAATTTGAAACAGTCAGCATCCCTCACTTCTTACAAAACCACCGCATGAGTCGAAATTAATGCATGTCATATAAATCATTGTGTCCCTGCTTTCCTACAAATGTAGTATTTAAACATGGCTTCTTGTGAATGATTGCATCATAATTGTTTCTTCTGGCCTACACTGTATTGAAGCAAAAAAATGGGAAAAAGTAATAAACTTTGAGTTGTTTTTTTTCAAATGGGGGAAAAAAGTGTGCTAATCTCAATTCACAAACACCCCAGGAGGCTACAATTCCAATTTTCTTTTCACAGTATTAATGAAACTGAGTATTGGAAAAGTCAAATCTTCCCCCTATAAATCCAAAATCACTTTCAAGTCTAGCCTAGAATTATAATAACTTCCACATCTATTAGACACAGTATAGAACTCTGGTCTAATGAGATCATTTTAGGCAACTCTTTCCTAGGTGGGGTGGAGACAGAAATTTAAAATCTATTACTTTAAGCTTAATTTATGAGAAAACCAGAAAGACTGGTCAGAAACTCTTAGTGAGAAGAAATTCAGTAAATGCATCTTGCCAAGAGTTTTTTTTTTTTTTAAGGATCATTGCAAGACAGGACATCTAACAATTCTGGTTAGCAGAATGATGCGTGCTGGGCATTATGGAGTTTAATGATCCCTTATGGTCCCCTCCTGATCTTAAATATATAGCCTATGTTTTTTTTTTTAACCACTAGCATGTTTTTTTCTTTATTATTTCCTAAGATTGGTAGTTTCTTACAATCTTTTTCTCAAAGCTCAAAAGCTGAATTTCCATTGTCATCAGGTTATAATGATACTCTTACTTTATCCTTGGTGTGCCAGGTTCATAGTTGACGACATACACATACATTAACAGTCTATACTGAAGAAATAAAACCAGCCCGAAAAATTACCTAGAAACTACAAACTTACCTTGAAAGTTAACTTTGGAACCAAAATATATATATAAGATTACAGTGGAAGAACAGCTCATTCAAGTATACAAAATAATTTCATAAAAATGACAATTTGAGTGATAAAAAGACCATCTGATGGCATGCTAATGCCTTGGTGAACTTGTCAATAGAAAGATAAGGTCCCACCACCCACCAAACCCCATTCTATATCAGGAATTAGGATTTTAAACACCATTTATCATGCAGAGTTGCAAAAACATAGATCAAGAGCAGTTTTCTTTAATGACAATAATTGATTGCTGTTTCCAATTTCAAAAAGAAAAATGAAGGATGTCACCATTGCAAAGGGAAATCTCCTTGGAAAAATTTATTAACATTCAAAAATGTATCTATCTTTCAAATTGCTTAGTTATTTTAGCACTTCAGTTGTGAATCATTGTACTAAGTAATTGCAAGCTTTAACTTCTGTTTGCATATGCTAAGGTGTGATTAGATATAATCAAACAATGCAAACTGATAAATACAATGCAAAGTTTAATGGCTTAATGTGCCCCCATCATATCACCAGATGCATCACAAAAGTCTTTTAAATTAGTGATCAAATATTATTTGTTTTGCCAAACCATACAATTTTATTTGCAAACAAATTTAGAAAGTTATATTTAAAAGTAATCATGCCAATATGAAACACAAAACCTGTTCTGGTGAAATAGTCACACTTAGACATTTGTGCCAGTAAGAATTATTTTACATTGTGTTTTGAAATTCAGAACTTGAAAATAAATTTTGTGGTTTATTGAACACCTTCCTGAGTAATATGCTAACCCATGAGGCAAAAAGTCCTGGCCCCTGCTGGCCTGACCTTCTTCATTTACCTGGGGGTGGGGAGGGCCCCTACAAGGATAATTCAGGAGCTGGAAGAGCAAGGCACAGAGGCAATAAAGAAGGGTAAGTGGGAGGAGAAATACAGAGGAGAATGGAGGAAGCAACAGAGGGTGCAAGAAGCTGGTAAGAGATGAAGCCTGCACTGACAGCCCTCTCTGGTCTGTACTGAAGTCTAATGTGTCTCAAACATATTTTCCCCATGTGTTTCTTAATTGGATCTAAATTTGTTCTAATTTGAGGAAATGATGTTCTTTCACAGATACTGTATCAAAGACTATCAAAAATAAATAAATAATACATAGGGCGATTTCCTTTCCTGTTGTTGTTTAAAATAACTATCTCAGCAAAAGACAAATTAAAATCTTAAAGATTTTTTTTTACTTTTTAATGGAGAGCAACAGTTGCATTTATTTTTTCTATGTGACAAGGCACTAGAATATGCCTTTAGTAGTAACTGTTCATTTTCCACAATGAATTATCATCTGAATTATCATCAGATATGAACAAATTGATTTAGAGCATAGTGCAGAAATAGGTTACTAACTGTCCAAACATTTGATAGCTCGTGTTTACCGAAGTTACCACAATACATATTAGACAACAAAAAACAAGAAGATTCATAGGATTCTTGATAAATCTACAGGGACAAAGCAGACCATGTGGAAAACTTCTAGAGACCACCGTATCTTACCAAATGCTAGAAGAGAGAGGAAGGATTAAAAACTACTTTTCAGTGGTCCTTTAAGGTAACATGCTTTATAAGTGCAAGAGTCCCAGGGATTTTTCTATAGCCATTTGGCTAAATGAATCTCAGAAGTGAGAAAGAAGTGAATATAAATATGAAATGGGTCATAACTGTTGTACTGCTCTATTTCCTTGCTAGAATAATCATTAGCTTCCAAATCATTTATAGGTTAAAAATGCCAGCAAAAGTCAAAAGCCTTTGTATTGTGATGAAGGTGTGCATTCTTGCTCTCCTTGCTTGTAGTAGACCACTGTCAGTCCTACTGAAGTTTTCCATTGAACCGAGTTCCTTATGCCCCTGGGCCCAATATAATGAACTGGCTACATCGGCTTAATTTTACCTACACGTCGGAGTTAATCTTTGAAGATTCAAGACTTAAAGACTTAAGCTTATTTGTGTGTATGCCATTATTTTAGCTCCCCCTCCCTTATTCTCTTTTACTTGCTTTTTTTAACAAGTTAAATCTTTTTTAACAAGTTATTCTCTTTCACTTGTTTCTTTGTCACGTGCTGGGACAAAGAAAGAAAAGGATGAAAGTAAATTTTAATTAATTACATTATTCACATTTCAGCACTGCTAAGAGAAAAACATGTTGCAGATTGCTTTAATTTTTTAAAAATGTCTTATTTTAGTTTATTATATAGTGTAGAGGGAATGCAAAATTCTTAAATCCATGAAATATACAAATTAATTATGTTTCTCTTTTTTTCACATTTTAGTAAATGGATGAGATGACTGCATTTACCTTTTATATAAATTTTGAACAAATTATATAAAAAGACATTTAACCATATTAGTCATTGATACTATTCTCTACATTTACATTAATATAAAATTTCATCAGAGATTTCTCAGTGATCATCAAAATAAAGCATTAGCGACAATAAGAGAAGCCACATTTATAATTCATGAATATATTTAAATCTCTTTGGCCTGTTATTGCATATCTGGGAGAGATGTCCCATTAATACATAAATATTTCTTTCTTTCTTTTTTTTTTTTTTTTTGGTTGAGGCAGTGTCTCGCTCTGTTGCCAGGCTGGAGTGTAGTGTGCGATCGCAGCTCACTGCAACCTCTGCCTCCCGGGTTCAAGCAATTCTCCTGCCTCAATCCCCCAAGTAACTGGGACTACAGGTGCATGCCACCATGCCCAGCTAATTTTTGTATTTCAGGGTTTCACCATGTTGGCCAAAATGGTCTGCATCTCTTGACCTCGTGATCCACTCGCCTCGGCCTCCCAAAGTGCTGGGATTACAGATGTGAGCCACCACACCCGACCAACACATAAATATTTCTAGTCTCAGAAGAAAAGTTAAGAAAAATTTCACTTAGCCTTCAGATTTGAAGCATAAATAGAAAAAGAATATTAATTAATCAGTTAGATATTGGAGTAACTACCTATTCCGAACATACCTATAATAATATCTGCTATGATGGTTATTAAAATTTTAATGTGAATCTGGGGAAAAGAAAGATAACATGTTTATTGGGTTTAGATTTTAATTTTGGTAGAGATTTTCTAGGTTATATTTTTAAGAAACATGATATTTAGAATTTTTACATCTGGGATTTACATCTGGGTTTTGTGTAGAGATATTTTTAGGCCTCATATGACTTAAGCAACAATTTGGCTAGTGTTGCAAAAAAGAAAGTGTTTTCCTTAAACAGGAGATGTTTTCAAATGCATATGGCACAGTTGAAGTGTTTCAGGCTTTGTTATGGTCTTTGTGACCTCATTCTTATTTTAACACAAAGTTGCTGTTATCATGCTATGTGCATAGTTGTTTTGAAAACCTCTCAGAAATATTTTAGCAGATAAAAATAAAATTTTTTTGATAAGATAGTCCATTTACGATATCAATTCCTTATTGAAAAAAATACATGTCTATTCTTAGTATACAAAATATAAACCCTCCACTCCATTAAAATTCTCAAATTTTACTGTCATAAGCTAAATGATTCAAATGTTATCTCCATTCTCCCTATTCCTTTCTGGCAGACAGAGTAAAAGTGAGGTAATTGTGAAAATGTGTTTAAAATGAAAGCATTCCATCAGGCTGGAAAAAATGATTTAGGTAACATTTAAACAAAATTCCCTTTTTAGCTCTTGAGACACCATAGTAAAAGAATGCTCTGTAAAATGAAAGTTTTCATTTAGTGAAAGCAGCTGAGTTAATTGGCACACTTTGGCAAAGATGACTGTATTTAAAAGAAAAAGTGCTGCCTTTGGTTTGTCAGGTAGTGACAGAGTTACTGCAGTAGATTCTATTCTTCATGAGAGGAAATTAATTCCTGTAATCAAATACTGTGGATTATAGTCTTTGTCTCCTTTCACCTTGTCCACAGAAGCAACACCAAAGCTTTTTATTCAGCCACACTCCGTGGGCTTTTGTAAAACAAGCAATGACACATTCAGCATAAAAAGTTTTACCTGCTACATTTTGTAGCACCAGAACATAGCTTATTGCTACTTTGAGACTAAGAGCTACTACTTTGGAAATGGCTGTATTTGTTAAGGCTTTATTTGAGGAAGGAAAAGAAAATCACAGAAAAACACACACACACACACGTTTAGGCAAAAGAAATATTGGTGATATTTGAAAATGGAATTACAAAGCAGTATAGAGCCATATGTTTGGTAAAATGATTCCCAGTAATTAACAAGAACTTTTGCAGAAATATTAAAATTAATTACTAAATGATGTTTAGTAGTAGCGAAATAAAAGCACAATTTTAGTCTTCTTGAGTTTTCAGTTCTTACATATACATGAACACACACTCATACACACACATTCTTATCTAATATATATGGAATCATGAGATTATTTGTTCATTATACATAATTGGCAAAGAATAGTGTTTTGAAAGTTGTAGCATTTTTAATACATTACATCTGAAAAGTAATATTTTTATGTAAGACAAGCGAGAGGATAGAGATTCAGGGAAAAACAGAAAACACAATTCACAAGGAAAAAATGACCTACAGTCAGAGTAGGATAGAATCTTCTTCTCTCGCTACAGTTTCTATCCTTTTATATCAAAAAAGTTTATTATATATAGGGGAAAAGAGCTGCCCCTTCTCCTCATATCTACCAATTAAATCTCAGGTCCATTCTTCCCCATCAATCATCAATTTCAGTGCCTGACCAGGCCTTCAAGAAGACGTAGGCACCCCAAAATCCATTGGTCTCATCCAAGAAAGAGCCTTATTTATACTTTGGGAAGACTGAAGAAGGGTTTTGTCAGTTGAATAAAACTAGACTAGCCAGCCTTCTATTATTATCTAATCTATTAGGTAGTTCAGAGTTTTGACCAAAAAATCAATCTAGACTGTATTTAAAACTGAGAAAGAATATTTTATTACTTTCTCCTCCAAAGTTCATCTTGGGAGCTCCCCAATCAATTAATAAAATACACACATACTTATGTAAACAAATGAATCTCCAACAAAATGGAAATTAGTCTATTTTTATTTATAAAAATGTAACTAAAGTTATACTTTAAAAAGCAGACAGTTAAAATGTATGGATTATCTTATTGTTCAATACTGTATTCTTTAAAATACAAGGGGAATATGATTTCTAAAGTAATCCTAAATTTAGTTGTCCTGATTCAGTCTAGAGTTAGACCTATGTTCTAGAGCAACACCTATTTGATTCTTATGATTCCCTCTAGTATTATAGGGTAGGGCTGTTCTGCTTTTCTTTATGCTGGGTTTGTGGGTTTTTTTTACTTAAGTCACCCACATGGCCCTTTAGAGCTAATTGGAGTTTATTTGGGACAATGCTTACCAAACTCTGTGAACAAAATTGATTTGTGAAGAAAGAAGACACAGCAACAAATCTCCCAGAGAACTTTAAATCACAGTCCCTAGTTTTTAGTAACCATGAGGCAAAGGGATGGCTACATTTATCAATAGCATACCTTTCCTAAAGCATAGGTGCTGTTAGAATTAGATAATAAATGTTAATATAGCTCTCTGGTATTCAGTGAACTCAATGATCACTTTGTGTTTGTTCTCATCCTCTTTTCTATAGCCAACCCAACCCGAGCAGGCGGCAGAGAGCCGTATCCAGGCTCAGCAGAAGTGATCCGGGAGTCCAGCAGCACCACGGGTATGGTCGTTGGGATAGTAGCCGCTGCCGCCCTGTGCATCCTTATCCTCCTCTATGCCATGTACAAGTACAGAAACCGGGATGAAGGCTCATACCATGTGGACGAGAGTCGAAACTACATCAGTAACTCAGCACAGTCCAATGGGGCTGTTGTAAAGGAGAAACAACCCAGCAGTGCGAAAAGCTCCAACAAAAATAAGAAAAACAAGGATAAAGAGTATTATGTCTGATCCCAAGATCTTAAATGGACACTTGTATAGAAATAGTCTTCATTTTATCTGAGACATAATATAAACTTATTTACTTTCCTTTTTATGAAGCACATACAAAAGAAGACAGGGAATGCAATCAGGAAGGAAAGACTTTTTAAAAAATAAAAACAAGTATCTCATGCTCTTGTTTCTCAAAAAAGAAAAACAAAAAACAAAAAACAGGGGCCAATAAATTCCCTAACATCCACAGTGTTTTCATTTACTCTGCTTGTCTTTATGTTGCTGGAACATTTCTAAAAGACAGTGATGACCGCACGCATTCATAAAGCAAAGGAGTACTACAGCATCAAGGCACAACACAAAAACCAACACAAAACATAACACAAAAAAGAAGCTACCTATGATCCTGGATTTAGCCAAAGTGCTAGCGCTTTCCTGAGAAGTCAGTCCAATTGCCAGAGAAGACTGTCCTTTTGAGTGACTCAACCTGCAAACCTTTAAGAGTTTGCCGCCTGGTGCAACTGGAGCAGTGGTTGGAACTTGCATTTGAAACAAAGTGCTGGCTTTTTTGAAGACTTGTGTAGGAACACATTCAAAAAGCCCCTTTCTGGTTGTGAGAGAGGAAAAAAAAGTATGGAGGCCTTATTTTCAAAAATGTGAAATATAAGGCACGTTTTCACACAAAATTTCAAAACAAAAACAAGAGGGCATAGATGCAATCATTGGGAAATTTTCATGCACGCTTATTATGTTATTACATATGTTTATATAAAATCCATCTCTGTGTGCTTTCTGGACTGTGATAAGTGACGTTTTATAGCCTGTTGTATAGAAAATGCAAAATATATCTCTGCTCTTCAGCCATTTTTGGTAAATTCAATGTTATAAGTGTTGCTAAGTATAGGGAGTTTTATGACATCAGAGCAACAATTATTTCAGTTGGGTTTTTCTTTTTTTTTGCCACCATTATAAATTGCCACAATTACTTTTATTTTTTAAAGAAATTACAGTGTAGTGTTTATTCTAAGGAAGATATGTATGAATGTATATACAAAGACTCAGCTACTTCTTTTCTTATATGTACAGCCTTCATTCTGTTGCAATTAAGTTTTAGTACTTGTATGAAAGGTGTGAATTAGAAAGTCACATATATACATATGTATCTTATAATCTTTTCTCCCTGAAATACTCACATTCCCACATACATTCACTATTTTCACACACACACACACACACACACACACACACACACACACACACACACGAATCCACAGCAATCCATCAGATATGCTGGAAGATCCAAACGTGCATACAGTAGCAAATATTTATTGACAAATTGAAAAGCAGGAAGGAAGAGGGTTGTGCCAAGGTATTGATGACAAATGGGGTGATTTGCTTCATTGAGATCTTGCTCCCAGGTAACCTTAAGAAGATTTTAGTCCCTAAAGAAATGAACCTTTCCTTATCAAATAGAATATCACTGATATACTGCTGCATGAATAAGAACCATTATGTGGGCAGGTTATGGAAGCAAAATTGGTTAATCTACACCTTAACTCTGGCTGCTGCAATTGAAAACTTTCTTTCTAATAAAATAATATATATATCTCTGAATCTGATGTGCATGATGAACATTTCTGGAAAGTAAACACTTTCTCTCGACTAAGAAAGTATTTTTCAGTAATTTTTGATTCTGTATTACTACCCACTTAAAAAATCATTCTCTGTTAATTATTGACTATGTTTTAACTTTTCTGGTTTTACATATATATCATTAAATATAGTTTTAGTTTAACACATTAAGTAGTGGAAAAGTATAGATTATACACTTGTTTTGCATATTATTCAATGATGTTCACAGCAATAAATTACTAATATGAGAAGGTAGTGCAAAAAATGCATTATTACATTGCAAGTTGATGTTTCAGGAAAAATTGGTTGCATTACTTGAATACCTTCTAAAAGAACGATAAAAAATTTTGTAGAAGAGAAGAATATCTTTCCAATTAGCTTTAATCAGCAAAGGCAAAAAATGCAAAACATCTTTTGTGATACTTTAGTTGATGAAAAAAAAGCCAAGAAGTGGCCTGGATTTCAGACATACAGCACCTTAGAAATATGTATAATTCATAGCAAATCACCACTATCTATGGTTGCCAAGTAATTGTTGTGTACAAAGAAATTTAGTGGCTTTTTATGACCCAGAAAGTAGAAGGTATAAAATGAAAATTTAATATCCATTGCTTCTTTTCTAGATTTTCATTTTTTTTAATTTGCCACATTAAATAATTCACGAGTCTTTTCTTTTCCCCCGTCTCATTCAGTCTTACTCAGGGAAAGCCAGTTAAATAAGAAGGGAAGTGTAAAACTACTAATTTACAGCTTGAAGGGTTTTTTTTTTTAAGATTGCTTTTCTATTTTATCTATTAAGCTTGAACCAGTTTCCATCTGGAAAGATTCTAAAATATAATAGAAAATAAATTGAATAATGGTAATTTTAAGCAGTATATCTATGAAATGTGTTGTTTGGGATTGATTTCAATGTTTCTCCCCAGCGTAAATTTTAAAGTTACATGCAATGATTGATATAGTTTATTATCAGCAAAATTATTTCTAATATTATTGGCTTACACAAACTCTAGCAAAAATTATTTTTTCCTCAATGGAAAAAGAAAAGAGAGGAACAGAGTTAGAAAGAGAAAATGACTTGAATCCCAAGTATCTTCATACCAAACATATCAGGGTTCCCTGCATAGTTTGCAGTTGATTGAGGATTTCACACGACTTGGCATAAATTTGATTACATCTCTAGACTGTAACTTTTCTGATTGATTATGCTTCTTTTTTATCCATGTAATGTGTTGCCTTTTTTAAAAGAACAAATACTACAATAACGTGTGAAGTGGTCAATCCCTAAGACATCAAAGAAAGGCCACATAACCCTACCCTTCTAGTGCTTTGTGTGATTGGGTATCAAAGGGGTTTTCTTCTTCTTTTTTTGTTTGTTTGTTTTTCTGTTGCAAGGCCAATTTATCCATTATTGGAAATGCTAAGCAAGTGGAATTTACTGTTTTGTTAATAAAATATTTCTTAATACAACTGTGATTTATTGATTTTAAAAATTATATGCGGCACCATTTCGTGCTTAAGTGGGAAAGTAAAGAAGGCTGCATTTGAAGGGAAGACCCATCCTTATATTATAGAGGAAGAATGTTGACTCTCTTTTTTCTGGATTTAACTAGTCATTAAAGACCTCTATATTCATACACTTAAAGATGTAGCCATTAAATGTACTTTTGTTATATTTGTTCATCTTGATATGCCAGAAACCATAAACTCATACAGTATTAGTTGCAAACAATATTAAAATACTAATTTCATAAATATGCTTTTTCTCTATAAAAGACAATGGAATCCAAGTTAAGTAAACCTGTGATTAAATTCCAACACTATCACATACTCGTTACTATTTGCCTAATTTCTTTGACTCTCACATTGTGTTATTTATTTGGAAAAAAACAAACAAATCTAAATATATAAAAGAACGTAGTGTTTGTTTCCATAAAACTGTATTTATTTCTTACAAAGAAAATTAGCTTTTTAGAAATCAGATGATTTATCAGAGTAAGTAAGTTTTAGTTCAACAGTTGGAAACTGTTGTTTTAAAACCCTGGCACTTGAAAATGATTTTATGATGAAAATGCACTTTTTTTCTTCAACAGTAAAAAGTCTGAACATGAATGCTTAATTCGTTTTGTTCCTGCAGTGTCTAGATATATTTGTTATTTCTTTATTGCTATTAATTCATGACAATCCACATTTTGTTAATGTCTAAATTAAAGGATATATAATTTAGTTTCCCTTAAAAATAGGTAGGCACTTCAAAGGCGGTTGCTATATAAAACTTAGTAATCAGACCAAGGATTTTGGGTCTTAACCTATAGAGGGCATAGATGCCCAGGGCCCAGTGATTAGGCATCAGGGGTTACTAACTTATATGTACAATAATAGAGATAGATAAATGTAAATATATATGTAAAAGATATATATGTATATATAATGGATAGATATATTAATGTAAATATATATAATTGCTATTATATATATATTTAAAATTAATATTTTAATATAAGTATTAAATATTTAACATAAAATAATTATATATAGTATATATTTATACATAAAATAACTTGGCAGGTATATGTAAATGAGCATTTTCCCGATAAAAGTGTTCATTAGGTTCATCAAATCCTCAAAGGGTTTCAAAGTTTCCCAAATGATTGAGAATCACTAAAACAGACATTAGACATAAACAAAACTTTTTTAGAAATAATTCTGAAGATGAATGGTTCAGCGAGTAATAAGAAGGCCAAGAAATACAAAAATTAGCCAGGAGTGGTGGTGGGCATCTGTGTTCCCAGCTACTCAAGAGGCTGAGACAGGAGAATTGCTTGAACCTGGGAAGTGGAGGTTGCAGTAAGCCAAGATTGCGCCACTGCTCTCCAGCCTGGGTGACGGAGCGAGACTCTGTCTCAAAAAAAAAAAAAAAGCATCAAGGAGATGGCATGAACTAACTTTAACCATTACAGTATCCGTCTCTATAAATAAATGTCCAGTTATACAATTTTTATTGCAATTAATCTTGCTTCATTTTTACAAGTTCAATCTTCAATTATTTATTGAGGCCCAGTGTATGAAAATCACCCCATTCATCCCACATATGTCTACTCTTCTGAACAACTTAATAGTCACTTAAGGGCAAACTTCTCCAAGAATTGAAATCTTTGATTAACACCTTGAAGATAGTCAGTGAACATCTAACATGCAGCAAGGGCTAAGTCAACAAAGCATCCATCTTTAAGCATGTAGAGGTCACCAATATTTGAGAGTGGCAGCTAGACTATGAAAAATACTGTATTGACCCCTAAATATGTGGTCATCTTTAAATAAAAAGGAGAAAGTAACTTCTTGAGAAACATAGAATATGGAACCATAGTATTCATTCAGTAAAAACAGCAATCAATAAAAGAAGTATTGAATGCTTCTGGTCTGTGAAATTTCAGATGATTACTGATTAGAACAGTGTGCTTTCAGTTAAGTAGAATTATCTTAATAATGATCTGTCACAAGGACAATATTTCGAGCAAAGTGGGTCTAAATACTAGATTTGAAAATTACTAGCTGTGGGACTTCATGCAATCATTCAATCATACTAAGTTTATTCAGCCATAAAAGAACGATAAGGAGACAACCTATAGGATTGTGAGGAATGAAAAACATAATGCACTTAAATGCTTTTATAAAGTTCAATATTTTACTAAAAGATAAAAGTTAAAGTTCACCTGTTTAATAGGGTAAAATTAAAGTGTGCTAGGCAGCTACTAAGAGAGTAGAATTATCATAAATTTGTAGATTTAAAATTAATACTATTGTAGGGGTTTATGTTATTATTTTTCCCAACATAGAAGACACTTTTACAATGTCTCAGACAAAGCATTGTATAGCCATGGCTAAAGGAAGGGTAGCTCCTTTGCAAGACAATCAATTTCATGATAGGATAATTTTGGTTCCGTATATCTAGCTTTCTTTAACTTCCACTTATTGATTTCTAATTCTCTTTGTGCAAAATAGAATATACCCTTTTTCCACATGACAGCCTTTCCAATACCATCAACCGCCCCCAAACACTGCCTGGATTTTCTCTTCTCCAATCTTAATATTCTGGTTTATCATGGCCATTACTCAAATTATATAGATTCTAGGCGTCTCATTATCTTAGTAACCTTTTCCTGAACCTGTTCACAAAATCTGATACCAAACAACAACATTTGGCGATCAGCCAAAATACAATGGATTTTTCACCTTTCTTGATTTGAACTTTTTCTCCCTGATAATGATGCTTAAGATTTCATGATTTTTCAAAAGCATATATTACTTGTTTGAATTACATTGAATTTATGATCAACTAAAATTATCAGATTTTTTCCAGGTAAAGTCTCCTTTAACTTGTACCTAGACACTTATTACTTGAATATAAATATAGTATTTTACATTTAACCATGAGAAGTTTCATTGTATTGAAGATTGATCAGTTGAGATAAATTTATATCTCGATTTTCTCATATCACGTCCTAATATTCATCATTGGCAAATTATGCATACATTTACATGAAAATAAGTTCATTAGGAAAGAGGTCTGAGGGAGGCCTCAAAAAGACCTCCCTGCAAACAGTGCTTTTCAACCAGGGGCATTTTTGCCCAGGAGACATTTGGTAATGTCAGGACCCAGTTTTGGTTGTCATGTTTTGGGTGGAGAGACCTATTCATGTCCACAGGGTAGAGATCAGGGATGCTACTAAACAACCGGAAGTGCACAGGACAGCCCTGCCTTCACCCCAGCAGACAACTGTCCTGTCCAAATGCCAGTAGTGCCAAGTTTGATAGGCATAACACATATCCAATGGCAAAGATAATATATATCAAGCTGCTAATAATCTTTGAGTGGGAATTTTCCATCTTATCTACCAAAACTCATAAGAAACTCAGTTGCCTTGCAATCAAGATACAAAATGATTTCCTCCTAATTTGTCAGTGAATCTATTGGAAAAAGGAATAACTTAATTTGTAATGCTGTTTATTACTTATTACCACTTCTTTTAAAAAGTGGCCACAAACTATATATTTTTAAAAGTAACTCTTCTTTTGATTTCAAGCTCATCACTGTAGAATTAAATACATCCTTTGAGTATTACAATTGAAATCAAGACAAAACTTGCTTCCTTCATTCTTCTAGTATCACATCTTCCTAAAAAATGTCAGAACAACCAGTATAATTTTTATGTTCACGTTGTCTGGAATGCAATTGGCCTTGACATGGACAGATAAACTTTTAAAAGAAGGGACTTAGAAATCATTTATTCTTTGCCTACCTTGAACGTCAATTCTCACTGGTACCCTATTTTTGGGGATCTGATTTCAAGGGTCTTAGGCATCAGTGTGTGATTTCTGGCTGCTTAGCCCATTCCAGAATCTCTGTTATTTTGTACCATTTTCGGAGGGCCCTGATAATTGACTTTTACCTCCACTATCCAATAAGCTTTCTCAATATCAGAATGCTCTTCAGAGAAGTGATTGTGGGGGAGCACTAGATGGGGAGTGAGGAAATGAGTCAGGGAAATTTAAAAAGCCTATTAACATTGATTATATAATAGGTTACTGCCATGAGGAAAACTACTTGGGAATTCTAGGAGACAGCATAAAGCATGCTTCAGAATTATTCCACCTGAAAGCCAAGGAATGGAAATATGTATCCATCGATTTCTATCAGTCTTAGGTAAAGGGCTATTAAGAGGGCAAGAAGGTAAGGATGATAATTAACTTCAAAGTACTTTGTGTGGCATTTCCTACTGACTGAGTAAGCTCTGTGGTTGAGAGAAAGCCCTCAAGCAAAGAGCTGCAAGTGTTTCCAGCTGGAAGCCACTGGGTTATTGTGCTCCAGAATGATGCATGCTAGGGTATATGGGTGAGTCATCTGCAACATTGCTACAGTTTTTGTGTGTGTGACTTTGTACTTACACTAAATACATTCAGTTCTCTGTCCAGTAAAATTGGTTCAACACATTCTTCAAAATAATGTGATTCCTTTCTCAGAGAAGTCTCTTTCTCTCCCCTATGGTCCTATGATGATTTCCTTAAAGCCACTAGGGCTAGTTTCTGTTCATCTTGCAATCATTTACTGCAAAATGATTGCGATAGTCTACGAACTTGTATCCTTTTCTCAGTTTTAATGGGATAATTTATCCCAGTGTGTGTCACATGTAGCAGCTGAAGTTCAAATTCTGGAGAGTATTCTCTCTAAATATAACCTGGCACCCCTCGATGTGTCCTAACCCTCCTCTGTGGATGGGGAAAATGTGGTCATGGAAATCAGATTCAGCTGTTTTGATTATTCAAAATAACTCACTTTATGTTCTACTGTCAGCTGTGAAGTTGTCTCAGGTGCCTGTCATTGGCTAGGAGGGAATAGGGGTGGAATCTATTTCTTTCATGTCTGTGGAAAAAAACAGAATGAACCTCTAAGAAGTTTAAGCATTTCTTTACTCCATGTTCCCAGTGGTACGTTTGAATTTTATAGTCAGGAGAGGGGGTGGAAGAGGCTGTGCCTTTGGCATCGCTTAGCTTACTCAGGTACACTACATATGGTCTGGGTCTCACCTACAGACACTTGGCCTGTGTCTGTGTGGCTTTCCATTGGATGGTGGAGAGTCGTCTACAAAGATACCCTCTTACCTCTTTACACCCTTCCTGTTTCTCCCTCAACTAATTCTTTTAACCTTATTGTTTTGCTTCTCCTGTGACTTGGAAATCTTGATCCCTGGTATGGGTTTTAAAGCAAAGCCATTGTGGCTTTTTGCAGGAGAAGTTTACAAAAACTGAAAATGGAGAAAGAGTGGAGACATCCATGAGGTCTTGTACTCTGGATACAGTTTTATTTTTCTCTTTTTCTATTTCTCTTGGTTTATGTATAAAAAAATCCAACATCACACTGTGCATGTTGTTCTTCTGTCAGCAATCCTTACAAGAAACCTGAACTGTTTGCTTAATTTTGGACCAAATTATGCAAAAGAGTTACTATCTTCTTACTGAGCTTGAGTCATGTTATAAAGACACCTCCACTACTTTAGTAGAAGCCATTTTCTCTCACCTCCTCCTTGTTCCGCTGCCTCTCATTCCTGCCTGCAGAAGGCAGAGATGAGGTAGCCATGCTCCTAGGTGCAGATTTAAAATGGGAGCTATCAGAGAGCTCTGAACTCAGCCACCACGGTTACCTTTGATGTCTTTTCATTGATTTCCTCTTAAATCTTATCTCTAAATTTATATTTTTTAGAGTTTCTACTCTATTTTTAGTATTTCTCATTTGTCTTTAGCCATATTTACCTCCAGAGCATCTGGCTATTGGATAATACATATTTTCTTTGTATTTTTACGAAGTTTTTCTCCCAAAGCTTATAATATATATATTAATTGTCCCAAAAGTTCCCTTCCTTCTCTATTATAAATCCCCCAAGATTTTCTGTTCCTTCCATCATTACCACAGCACTTCGTTGTTTCTTGTTAGTGAGAATTAAGTCTATCAATTGAATTTGTTGCCTTTCAAGACTCATGCAAATTATCTACTTTTATTAAAATAAAATGTAAGTAGCTGGAATTTTGACATCTTAGTTCTGTTCCAATATTATTACTCATTCTGTAAAATCTTATCCATTCCTCTATACAATATCATTTTTCCTTCTGTATGCTTTAATTGTCATCAAATCTCATTATACTTAAATGGTAATGTTACTGAACAAATATTTTATGTGGAGAGACACTCTACTTCTGATAACTTCTGATTTTAAAATGTAATACTCAATTTACACTTGTGAATAAGACTGACTATAATTAATTTTCATGAATACTGAAGCATGTAGTTAAAATTTTCTATGTGGCTTAATAGCTAATGATTACAAGCATTTGTGGAATACTCTATCGCTTACAAAGTAATGGCACAAATAGCATTTCATTCGATTTTAACCACAACCCTCTGTATATGATATTACCAAATAGATTCAGGCATTCAAAGTCCTGATGTTACACACACACACACACACACACACAGAGTCATGCATTCAACAGGGATATGTTTTTAGAAATGTGTCATTAGGCGATTTCATCATTCTGTGTCACAGAGTATATTTACACAACCTAGATGGTATAGCCTACTACACATCTTGGCTATATGGTATAGCCTATTGCTACTAGGCTACAAACCTGTACAGGATGTTACTGTACTTAATACTATAGGCAATTGAAACATAATGGAAATTATAATTTAAACATGTCTAAACAGAAAAGGTACAGTAAAAATCTTATGATACCACCATCCTATATATAATCTGCCATGGACCGAAACATCTCTATACAACTCGTAACCATATATTAAAAATTTAGGGACACAATGGTTTTAGAAATCTTTAAGTGACTTAGAAACTGTTACCAAAAAAACCTAACTAGCCAAATTAACTAGCAAGTTCTCAATTATTTTTATTCTGTGGTTATGAGGATATGAAAAACGTTGTTAAGAGAAATTTATAATAATTCAACAAGGTACTTCTAGCTTTATCATATTACAAATGGAGCAACTGGCAAATAGCATAACTTTTATTTCTTTAAAGGCTACTAATAAACAGAAGAAAACCAAATACTCAATAATGAGTGAGTAACATGCACCTGTGTCTTAACTAATACAAAAGATGTTAAGGAGAGAAGGATGAAGCAAAATAATCTAAACATAGTTATGCATTTGAGGAATGTGTTGGCGGTAATGATATTTCTTGTTACTAGCACTTTCCAATTTATCATCCTATTTTATTTTTATAATGTTCCTGTGAGGTAGATACAACAGATTTAAATCTCCATTTTGTAAATGATAACAGTGAGAGCCAGAAAGGTTAAGAAACCAAATGTAAAGTGACTGCTAGCAATAAATCAATATTTTATATATTAGGTCATGTCTCTCCTGAAACTAGGGGAACTAAATTTAGTATCATAGATTAGAAGAGATGAAAAATACTTTTAAAACTTCTTATTTTGTAGATGAGGAAACAGGGGCTTAACATTAAGAAATTTACTTTAAATTACACTGCCTGTTAGCAGCAAAGGTAGGACTAAAGCCTGGTGCCCCGACTCTAATTCCCACATCCTGTCTTCATAGCCAAGAAATATAAACCCTTTAAGCAGAAAAAGAAAAGCCATCATTCCTTGCCCAAACTTGATTTCTTTCCACCTCTCTGATGTAAATCTTGCAGCTGGCCTGTGGGTTTATCAGATAAAATTACTACTTTAAAGTTAGTGGCAAAGGGGCAATGTTTAGCACAGAGTGGCTAGTCAATAGATTTTTTTTTGAATAAGTGAATCAATACAATTGGCTTGGCATTGGCATTTTAACTAATATTCACATCTTATTTCTCTGATGTAGTTGAGCAACAGATGATTCAAAAGTCAATGGGAAAAGATCAGCAAAGGATTTATATTTTGCTGACAGTATTTTCTGGTCTATTATCTCAACTATGAAGCTTGCCTTCTACTGCCTTTATCTTACAGGCCTGGAGAAAGAGGTAGCACTTTTCTCAGTACTTTTTAGTTTTACACCACACATTTACACATTTTCATTTACTAAACAATTCCTTCGCCTTCTATTTTTGCTTTAACACCTAGCCTAGAACATTCTTTTAAGCCTTGCCACCATCTCTGTGAATTTCATTATTTCTATTAATAATCCTCTCAACAGCCTGACTTCAGAATTCCTCATCTTGTTCCATCCCAAGGGGCTCCATCTTCGTTCAGTCTCAGTTACTAAGTAATAATTCATACATACCCAAAAAATTTTAAACAGAAATGCATTATTTTTTACATCAAAATTCTGAGATCTCCACTAATGACTATACACTTGACCCTTGAACTACATGGGATTGACCTGCATGGGTCCACTTACATGCAGATTTTTTTCAATAAAAGTTACATGAAATGTATTGCCCTCTCCTGCCTCCCCTTACCTCCTCTACCTCTTCCACTTCTATTACCCCTGAGACAGCAAGACTAACCCCTCTTCCTCCTCCTCTTTAGCTTATTCAATATGAAGATGACAAGGCTGAAGACCTTTATGATGAACAGCATGTACTTAGTAAATTTACTTTTTCTTATGACTTTCTTAATAACATGTCATTTTCTCTTATTTTGTTATAAGAATACAGCATGTAATACATATAACATAAAATACATGTTATTCAACTGTTTATATTATCAGTAAGGCTTCTTGTCAAGAGTAAGCTATTAATAGTTAAGTTTGGAGGAGTTGAAATTATATGTGGACTTTCAACTTCTCAGGTGGTTTGTGCACCTAGCGCGTGTATTGCTCAAGGGCCAACTGTGTATCCTAATTGTTCCTCTTTTCCGTATGTCACTCCAACTAACCTTGTTTGCCTCAATTATAATATCTTGAGCTGTCTTTCTATCCTATTCCATCATTATATTAATCTCCTCTCATATACACTTGTCCCGTTGCCTACACAAAAACTCAAACTGTAGTTAATTGTGTTCCTAAAGCCATTCCAAGAACACTTCTATTTCTTGCCCATTTTGTGGACTGCTATAGTAGAAAGCCCATCTGCAGCTCTGTGGTAAGCTGATCCATCCTCTGTTTCCACTCTCTATCCTAATTCTTAGCATTTTACCATTCTCTTGAGCTGCATGCATTGACAATTGCCTGTTAGACATCTAATTCCTTAGGTATCTCAATCACAACAAACCGACTTTATTATCTCCAGTTTAAAAATCATAGGCAAATAGCATTAATATCCTCCTAAGAACACAGAATGAAAATCAAAGAAACATATTTTAAATTACGCATGGCACCTTAAGGGATTTTTTAAAATCTCTTTTCCATGTGGGATTCTAAAAAATTCTCTTTTCCATATAAAATTTTTTTAAAACCTCTCTTTTCTAGGTTTACTACCTCAAATAAGTCTAGTTTTCTACCTGTGCAATAACCTTGGTTAGTTCAGAATGTTACTATTTTTGTCTATACTTTTAATAATAGCCTTAAAACTGCTATCTCTCCTCCACATTGATCATTTTTCTGATCTACCCTTCACACTTCTGATTACAGTATTCTCCTGTTCCAAGGAGTTCAATGGCTCCACATTCTACACTGGAGCTTGCTACCTCTCCTCCTTTCAAACTGAGCCAATTTTCCGTGCCCTTGCCTGTCTCTGTAACTTTCATTATTTTGTTACTTTTCCTAAAAGTAACAATTTTTTAACCAATTTTTCTACCAATAGAACTTAATGTCCTTCTTCAAGGCCCACTTTACTATCTTCAGTTAAGCTTTCTCTGATCAACGCAGTTATAATTAATTACTCCTTCATTCACACAGATGTTTGCTCAGGCTTCTGGTTATCATTTATTTTATTCTGCTTTGGATGATACTTAGGTGTTGATATATTTTCTCAGTTAGTTATAAGTTCAAATCTCAACTCCAACAGAAAAAATGTATAATTGCAGACATTAGAGTCATTTTCTTCTCCTGTGTATTGGTATGACACACTGTTCCTATCTCTTGAATTGCATTTAGAGCAACTTTTATATAGTAATTATTCATAATATAATTAATTATGAATCATTTTGTATTCACACCCGCGGTAGATAAGAACACTGCTTTTTTAAGAAATTCATTTATTCAAATCTTTGTGAGACATCTGTGATGTGCTATGCCCTGAACTAGGCATTCAATATATAGTTGTGAGCCCACATGGAGTTTACATTTCATGGGAGAAACAAACAGTAATCAAAGAACCACAGGCATAAATCATGTGTTACAATCATTATTTGTGTAACAAAATAACTATGAGTATGGGATAAAAGAAGTTACCCAAAGTATGATTAGTTAACTAAGCACTTCAGTTAACTGTGAAGATTAGAAACTAACCAGGTGAAAGCAGTGGGAAGAGCACTGTAAGCTGAAGCTCTGGGTCAAGAGAAGCCTGGTACATACGAGCAACCAGGTGAAAATCACCGAGGCTGGAGGAGCACTGTTAGCGGGGGAGCCAGGATGGGAAGGAACAGTTTGCAAAAGGAGGCTGGAGTATTAAAAAGGGGCCGGATAATTTTATCTGCAGTCAACAAAAAGTGCTACTTAAACTATCTTACTGAGGAAACAAAATGATTCACATAGTGGAAAACCTAAAGGAATGATAAGCCGATCCTTCTAAGAATTCTCACCATTCCAAAACACACAGATCGCTTTCTAGCATTTGGCTAAGTATGGTTTTGTTAGAGGTGATCTGGTTAGAATTGGTGTTTTATACCACCGGCAGAGCTGACTTTACTTAATACTCGACAACATTTTCTCCTATCCTAAAGGTCTATCATGATAGGAAAGAATTGACTCTCTTTGGAATTAAGATCGAAAGTCAATATTTAAGGTAAAAATATTACATACAGCAAAATTATGCCAAAACACACGTTAGTCATACAATATAGTATTGTCCCTCGTTAAATCCCACATAACTAATTTTAATTCTATAACAGAAGAAATCACCTTTCCCTTGAGCATCAGATGTTTGTGTTTAAGGACTGTGTTATATGAAAAACTTGTATATTTTTCTCTGAATGTAAAATAGGTATGTGAAAATTAAGACTGAGGAAAAATCACATTTGTAATGTCCACCTCGTGCTCTTTCTAGATCTTCTGATCGCTGAGTGGAACAGAGAGTTGAATCATCCACATTATTTACATTTTTGTCTCTTTTTTTTTTTGAAAAATTAGCACCTCTAGCTGAAATTAAGTTTGTAGGAAATATCTTCATTCTCTATATATTACTAGTCTTTTATAAGTGACCAGCAATGACCTTTGTAGTAACCAAGAAGAAGTACATTAAAATCTTAACCAAAGAATACACACATACATGTGCACACACACAGTCAAAACCTTGATATTTGTCATTATGAATATCTGCGATGACTAACACTTTCTGACTTTTAAAAGGCTATTGTAACAAGGGAAATATTCATATTCCATATGAAAATATTAGAGAAATAATTCAGTGAGACGAATAGAAATATATTTTTCCTGTACCTTCTTGAGGATGCATGTGATGCCAGTAAATGCAGAGAGGGCAATAACCGGTACCTAATATAAATTTTCAGTCTCTTGGTGATTACCACTAGCCATTGGGGAAAATCTTGCTCAAACTGGACAATGAATAAATAGCCAAAGACCATTTTAGGTGATACCCTTCTAGTTTGGCACAAATAATAAAAATTATCCCCCCAATATGGTTGAAATTGTATGGTTCACACTGACAATGGCATTATAATGATAAGGTCCAAGAAGATATAGACAGGACATATGCTGAAAACAAACATAAATAATACAGGGGATCAACAAAGTCAAATATTGGTTTTTGAGGAATATTCATAAAATATTTTATTACGAATAAAATAACATTCATAAAATATTAAAAGAAAATTTGCAGCAGGAATGGTCAAAGTAAAAAAAGGTTTTTGTTATTGTTGTTGTCTTGTTTTTTTTGTTGTTTTTTGAGACAGGGTATCTCTCTGTCACCCAGCCTGGTGTACACTCGTGGGATCATGGCTCACTGCAGCCCTGACCTTCCAGGCTCAAGTAGATCCTCCCACTTCTGCCTTCCAAGTAGTTGGGACTACAGGTGTGTGCCACCACACCTGGCTAGTTTTTTAAGACAGTTTTGGTAGACACTGGCTCTCCCTATGTTGCCCAGGCTGGTCTTGAAATCCTGGACTCAAGTGATCCTCCTGCCTCACTCTCCCAAATTGCTGGAATTACAGGCATAAGCCACCACACACAAAGCCAAGAAGATGTTTTAAAAGTCAGGAATTTTTATAAAAGAACACGGAATCGCAAATACTACAAAGATTTAAAAGAAGGTGTTATGAACATGTTAGTTAATAGCTTTGTGATTTCAACTAAGTTTCAAAATTTATTAATAAACATCTCTAGAGAAACATAGCTTACCAAAACTGACTCAAGAAGAAATCTGAATTGCATTAATAAAGATTAAAATTGTTGCATAAATAGGTAGAACATTTCCCAAAGAAAACTACTTGGCCCATATTTTTGCTAAGGAGTACCAACCATTCAAAGAACAAATAATTACAACCTTATATAAACTATTTCAGAGTATAGACATATGGGAACATTGTAACTTATTTTAGGAAATTAACAAATGCTTGACTAACAAGTACAGTAGTCATAGAAAATTCACAGGCTAATATCACTCATGAAGATATATGTCCAAGTGGTAAATGTTTAATGAACTGATTTCATGTATATAATAAGAGACTAAGATGAATTTATTTCAGAATTCAAGGTTCACTTAACCTTAGAAAAATCCGTATTTGTGATTCATCACATTAACGTATTAAAAGAAAAAAAGAATGAAATTCAACATAGATTCATTATTTTAAAAATAAGGGCTTTTTTTTGAGACAGGGTCTCATTCTGTCATTCAGGCTGGAGTGCAGTGGCGAGATCACAGCTCACTGCAGCCTCAATCTCCCAGGGCTCACATGGTCCTCCTACCTGAGTAGCCGAGACTGCAGGTACTTACCGGCACATCCAGCTAATTTTTCTTTGTATTTTTTGTAGAGATGGAGTCACACTATGTTGCCCAGGCTGGTCTCAAACTCCCAGGCTCAAGTGATCTCCCAACTAAGCCTCCCAAAGTGCTGGAATTATAGGCCTGAGCCACCATGCCTGGCAAAAAATAAGAACTTCTTAATAAACCACAAATAGATTTCCTTAATCTAATAATGACAATCTACCAAAAAGCCATAATATAATAATTGATCGTGAAATGTTGAAAACATTTATTTTAAAATCTGTAACAAAACAGGGGCACTTTCTATCATTATTTCTATCTAGCCATCATGATAAGGTAAAAAAAAAACACACTATATAAGGATTGACAAAGAGGAAGCAAATTGTCATTATTTGCACATAATGATAATTTGTTATAACTGGTAATAGTTTACTAAGATTCCGAATGTAAGATCAACGAATAGAATTCAACTGTATTTCTATACAACAGTAAAGACATAAAATTAAATTAAAACACTGTTTAAATAGCTTCAAAATGTAAAATAGAATAGATGCAACAAAAGTTAGATTTCTATTAGGCTTTTGCAGGACTTTAGTGGAAAAAATTATAAAACATTTGAAGAACATTATAATGGAACTATAAACAAAATGACAGCCATATGGTGTTAATGGACTAGAACCCAATATCAAAATTCCATATCATAAAATAATTCTGCCCAAATTGATCTACAAATTGAGTGCAATTTCAATCAAAATCCCGAGTAGTTGGCTGTTGCTACTGATCTTGATAAACTGATTCTAAAATTAACATGGAAGAGCAGAGGGTCAAATATAGCCTAGAGACTCCTGAAAAAAAAAGCAAAGTTGGCTGACATGACTACCAGGTATAAAGCAGCCATTTTTGAGACACATAGAATTGGTGCAGGCTTCGATAAGTAGAGCAATGAAATGAAACAATCAAATCCACACAGTTTGAAACAAGATTTATGATAACTGGCAATTGAGATCAGAGGCAAAAGAAAAGAATTTGTTCTTGGACAATTGATTATTCACATGGAAAAATTATGCAACTAGACTTAACCTCCTGACAGATATAAAAGTCAATTCCATGTGCACTAAAGATTTAAACGTGAAGCCAAAAGGGTGAAACATTTATAAGATAATATAGTTGTAACTGCTTGATAATTAAGGCTTTCTTTCAAAAAGTGATTCAACATCACAAATTATAAATAAAAAGATTGATACATTTATTAAATTATAATACCTTCTGTTCATAACATTTAACAAAATCATTAAAATGTGAATGGATATACCATAGATTAGACAAAGAAATGTGCAATACATGGGATTGATAAATAATTGATACACATAAAATACTAAAACTTCTAAGTCAATTAAAAAAAAAGCTTACATGTAAATAGGCACTTCACAAGAGAATATAAATTCCCAGTAAGCACATGAGAACATTACTCAAGCTCATTAGTAATCAGGGAAATAGAGCTAAGTCTATGTTAAGATACAATTTCATAGGTATGAAATTGTACAAAACGCAGACTACAAAATGTGAAAAATTTGATAGTATCAGGGATGGATGAAGACAGATGGGTAACACAGGGTTAACTAAACTTTTAGCCACCTCCAGTGAGAAAGTAAATTGGAACAAACACTTCAAAAACGATTTGGCATTTATTTAGCAAATGTGAAGCTGTATACTCTTTAACAACCCAACAATTCAATGCCCATGTATATATACTCTATATTGAGGTTAATGTGTATTTGAGAGGAAAGAAACAAAGAAACCAGAAGTGGGGAAGTTGATATAGAAGAATGCAACAAAGATTGAATAATCGTTAAAAAAAAAAAACTAGATAGTTGGTACAAACAAGAAAATGTATTTGATTATGAACCAAGACATTACAAGTATTACCATCTCCCCTGTCTGCTCTACAAACATCAGTAGGGAGAAAATGTGCAAGGGAGAATGTCTTACTTAGCATACTGGATGGTCACATTCTGCTGTGCTATGTGTTGGTAATCCAGCCTGGAGAAACACATGAAGTTTCTAAAACCACAAACAGAATAGCAAGTTGTAAATGGAATCCTGGAGAGAAACAAATAGGGACTAGTGAGGAATGATAAGAAATTGGGTTGAAAACGCCATGGGGTGCCAGATTATGCAAAGCATTGCAGGTCATATTAAGTGGTTAAGATTTTATTCTAAATTTAACAAAATAAAATCAGCAAATAACCTTGAGAGGTTTGCCAAAACAAGGAGATGGAGTGGAGATGGGAAGAAATGAATGGATTAAACATATGTATTAGAAGTAAAATGTAGATAACTACCTAATGGATTTGATGTAAAAACTGGTGAGAAAAAGAATAAACAAAAGATGACTTCTGGGCATTTGGCAACTAAGTACATGTTAAGAGTATTTTTCTTAAAAAAAAAAAAATTTCTAGAGAAACTTTTTTTTTAAGCAATAATCTTCAAAAGTCAGAGTTGAATGAGTTGAATTAAAGACAATAAATTCACAAGTTTAAGACAGAAAAGAATTATTCAAATAAGGTCTGGATCTAATTACTTAATGCACAGAGTCTCAACCCTAGCAGCTCATTAAAAGCACCTGGTGAACTCTTAACGACTGCTACTGCTCAGGCCTCATCCCTGGGTCTTGGGTAGGGCCCAGGAATGTTAATTTTCTAATAAGGTAATTTACTAATTAATTAATAATGTGTACATTTGTTAATTTATAAAAGCTATCCAGGTGGTTTTAATGGGTCTCAACCAAGGGTTGAGACAGATCACAAAAATGTACCTATTCAAATCCTTGCTTCCATGAAGTAGCCTGTCCATGTGCCCCTTAGGCTACACACATAGAATTTCTCTTTGGTTTTTCCTGGTTAATTAGAAGAATCCAGTACCATGTTATGTATGTATCTTAAAACAATTTAAAATCATATTTGTTAAGACATAATGCATACAGTTAATAGTATCAGTCATAAGCAATAAACAGTTGGCAGTATCAAAATCTTACTTTTTCTATTTCATAGCTCCAGTGATAGTTATTGTGTCCAGATGCCTTTGCTTCTAATTTGGATAGTCTTTTTAATTCATTTCATATATGTATATCTCAGCACCCCAGCTACAATTACAATGTGAGTTCCTTGAGGGCAACAATCAACTTTTTAAAAATTTTCAAATTTTATTTTAGATAGAAGTACTGCATGTGCAGGTTTGTTTCATTTGTATATTGCACCCAAATAGTGAGCATAGTAGCTAACAGATAGTTTTTCAATGCACAGCCCCCTCCCTCTCTCTCCCCTCTAGTAGTTTGCAGCGTCTGTTGGTCCTCTGTGTCCAGGTGTTCTCAATGTTTAGCTCCCACTTATAAGTGAGACTATGTGGTATTTGTTTGTCTGTTCCTGTGTTAGTTCTCTTAGGATTGTGATTTCCAGCTTCATCCATGTTGAGGCAAAGGATATGGTTTTATTCCTATTCAATACTGAAACTCAGAAGAAATTTGATAAATATTTGACTCATTGATTTACTGGTATTTTCATGAGGCTAGTTCAACTTCTTTTTAATCAGACTTACTGAGGAGTAATGAAGTACCCTTCATGGCTAAGTACAAAAATAATATCACTAGTTGGCAAAAGAGAATTTTCATTTTCTATTCTCTTGGTGACTTTATATAGATTTATTTTGCCTTCTCACCTCCTTCCCTTTTCTAAAATATAATAATACCACACAGTAACAGAAGCAACAGTGAAAGCTTATCCTCTTAATTCAGCTCTGGCTTAAGTCAGAACAGATGGTAAAACTTTTTTAAACCAGGCAATACTTGAGAAGCAATATATGGAACCATGCCGCTGCCGTTGCTTTATGCTTGTAGAAGCTAATCCATGCTGAACGGTTAACAAATTCACAAAGTAAAAATGTTGGAATGAGTGTTTGTAGTCCCTAAACAATGTGTGTGTGTGTGTGTGTGTGTGTTGCTGGTACTAAACCAAGAACACTTTAAGAAATGGCTCAAGGGCACACCAGTGCACTTAGAAGAATTAAAAAGGCATCAAGCCATGTTTGCCCATGAAAAGAAAAAAATGAAACCCACTTTCTACCCCAAGGCAAAAAGAATGACTATGGTTAAAAAAAGAGAGAGACACAGAGCTTTCTAAATTGCTCATTCTTACAAACCACCATAAAGAGCTACTTTTCAAGCATTTTGTCATGAGAAATGAGGCTTTTGAGAGGGATAGCTGTGGCCAACTTTCCCATCATTATTTTTTGCTTTTCCTTTATTCTGTTTTATGTTTCTTTAACTCCAGCCGTAATTAGTGCAATGTAAAAACCTTGTCTCATAACCTGAAAACCTCCAGAAATCTGCTGATTATGCAGTTTTCAATTTGAGCTGAGCCAAAAGCCTTTCAGAGTTTTATCTGTAACTTTTTTTGCCCTTTGCCATCCAAATCATTTATTTATTTGATTGGATCCTTTTATTAAAAATGTTGCCACTGGCCTTAGGGTTTCTTGGCAAGAATACAAAATGTTGATACAATAATTTAATTCAGTCTGGCACAGGGATGAGGAAAAAATCAGGTAAAAGAAAAAACCTCTCTTAGACAATGCCTGCAAAGAGAATATTTTTATCTTGTTTTTCAATATAGGTTCAAGGAAGCCATGTCCAAATCATTTCACTAACATCACCAGAACCCACTTTACTTTAAGCCCTTGGTAAAGGCGAAATGGGTTTCTTTATAAAACTTATAAACCTCAATCACCACAAATAGCGACACAAGAAATGACAAGAAATGTGGTTTAGATTATCCGCATCCCGGTGAGAGTTTCAGAGTGTCACCTGTAAGTACAGAAATAAAGGGTAACCGCTTTGTTTCCATGGGGAAAAATTAATTCTCTCTCTCTCTCTTTCTCCTCTCTCGCTTTCTCCATTAGCCTGGCCAATTGTTTTTTTCCTGAATATAATCTTTAAGAATGAGGAGGAAAGTATCCAGTATGATGGTTCATGTCTTAAGGATTTACTTCTATAATCTGAGGGGATGTATTTTCTTCGTGTTCTCATCTCCTTCGATTTCTCTCCTCTTTCTGCTTACCAATTTCTCTTGTGCCCCTTTTGTTTCAGTCCTTCACCTCACTTCTCTCTAAGTGGCTGAAGGACAGTACAGGGTTTCCAGCTCTTTTTCACTCTTGCTTCAAACTTTGACTCATGTATTGTAAGGCAAAATGGTTCAAACAGAATTGTGGGTGGACGCATTCATTTCATTCAACAAATAAGACCCTCTTATGTGTCAGACTCTTTTTAAGCACCTGGCACGTGGAGGCAAACATGACAGATTCATTTCCTTTTCTCAAGAAACTTTCACTCTAGAAAGCAAAAAAACTTCTAAATTATTCTTGGTTCCTACTGGATCCTTTTGACTCAACAAAAGGAATGGGTCAAAGTTAGAATGAGGTTAAGAAAATAAGTGAAGCTCTGCAAAGAAGGATGCTGACGAGTTTTGAGCTGTGCTTTCTGCGGAAGCACTGCAGAGAGGTGGCTGCAGGTTAAATATCTTCCCTCTCTCCCCCTCCCCCTCCATATTTGAAGATTATGTTACCTTTCAGAAACCTTTTCCTTTTAATCTGTTCTTCCTTTTTCATCTTTTCCTGGAGAGAAATTTAGAGCATTATCTACTTTCCACCAGAGGAAAAAATCCTTTTCTCCATGGGGTTTCCTGATTGACTTGGTGAATGCTGAGAATGCATCCCTGGTTCGATATTTCTCCCTTTAGTGATTGAAGAAAATCTCTGATGACAATACTATGCACCTGGGGGTAACACCTAAACTCAACACAGGCCTCCTGTGCTAGTTGTGATCAACTTGAGTGATTTTGAAGAGAAGGAGAAAATGGAAGCTTCAAAACAACTTACATCTTCACGTGCTAGTGATTCTTAACTAATCACTGCTCTGACCTCACAAACAGGTCATCATGCTGGCCCTGCCCTTCTGCAGGCTGTGAAGTCAGGCAAGGAGTCAAGACATCAGCAGAGCTGCTGAGATGGTCATGCAGTGTGGTCACAGCATGGTCACAGCAATGTTCTGAGATAACCAAGCAGCAGCAGATACACAGAATCTGTTTGGAAGGGTAATGCTATGGTCAGGGCTCATACACTCCTCTATAGTATATTGGAGTAACATGAACCATCCAGGGTTTGCCTTTCTCTGCTAGGTGACAACATTTTCTCATGGGCAAGTAGGCCATTTATGGAAAGAAGTGGTGCCCTAACTTCAAGCAAAGAGAACATCTCATACTTGTATAAATGTTTGGTGTGTTTATTACTGTTAGATGTTGCATACATGAAAACAAGAGACTAGCATGTTCACCAGCAAGATGTAACATAGTGGTGCACGCCAGGAAGGAGGAAAGAACACAACAGAATTGAAAAAAATGCCCCACCCTAAACATGGCTGGAAGATTTAGTGAATGGTACTTCTTGGTAATGTAAAACACTAGGTTCAATCTTTTACTAGAAGAGTGAACATACACTTATTCCAAACTCCAGTGCCCTTTCATAGTTGTGTTACAAATTGCAAATAGCTGCATGATGTGGTTTGGCTTTGTGTCCCCACCCAAATCTCATCTCAAATTGTAATCCCTGTGTGTCGAGTGAGGGACCTGGTGGGGGGTGATTTGATCATGGGGCAGGACTTCGCTCTTGCTGTTCTCATGATAGTGAGTGAGTCTTAGGAGATCTGATGGTTTAAAAGTAAAGCACTTCCCCCTCTCTTGCTCTCTCTCCTGCCACCATGTAAGATGTACCTTGGTCCACCTTCGCCTTCTGCCATGATTGTAAGTTTCCTGAAGCCTCCTCAGCCATGCAGAAGTGTGAGTCAATTAAGCCTCTTTTCTTCATATATTACCCCGTCTCAGGTAGTTCTTTATAGCAGTGTAAGAACAGACTAATACAGTCCATATTGTCGTATATTTTATGATAGTCATTGTTGACTAAATAGCATTTTATTTGTATTGATACACAATGAATTTTAAAATAATTTTTGTCATACACTTAGACTTTCCCTAATATTCTTATACCATTACAGATTGCTGTTTGATCACTTCAGATGTTTATTTTTTACTAAATTATTTACTTAAGATTAATGTATAAGACTAGAAATGCTAAAGATGAAAATCATCAATGTTCTTTAATGTTTATCATTCTGTTTAAAAAATTGTATCAATTTATAATTTCACAAACAGTAAATGAATGGACACCTTCACAATGACTGTCATCATTGAGTACTAAATGTATAAAGCTTTTAATGCTGTCTCATGTCATAGTTCATAATGCAATTTTAAGTTGCTAGTGTGAATGCACTCTTCCATTGTACAATTCCTCTTTGATGAGATCACCCTGTTTTGTTACCACTTTTTTATCAATAAAGTCTAATATTGCCAGTCTTTTGAAACTCATAAGATACTTAGACATACTCACTTAAAAATAGATATTACATTATATTTAATCTTGAGGCCATTTGAAATACAAGTACTGTAAAATCAAACCTTTTCTCAATCATCTAGGAGATGTAATATGCTTCTGTATTTCAGCCAGTTCCTAAAATATGTCTTGAAATCTGTGCTATAATGTCTGAATTACCATTCTGAAACCAGGAATCCTGTGTTCTTCTTTCTAATTTTGTGCTTATTTTCAAGGGAAGTAGATGACTTTGTGTGATTAATTTTATGTGTCAACCTGACTGGCGATAGGGTGCTGTGATTAAACATTATTTCTGGGTGTGTCCCTGAGGGTACTTCCAGATGAGATTATCATTTGAATCCACATACTCGTTAAAATGGATTCCCCCTCTCCAATATGGGTAGGCATTATCTAACCCATTGAGGGCCCGAATAGAACAAAAGGCAGAAGAAGGATAAATTTGCCCCTTTTGCTTCCTGCCTGTCTGCTTGGGACATCTTGCATCACATTCTCTTCTCCTTGGAGTGGATTTATACCGTTTGCTAACCTGGATCTCAGGCCTTCAGATTCAAACTGAACTATACCACCAGCTTTCCTGGGTCTCCAGATTGCAGAGGGCAGACAGTGGGACTTCTCAGACTTCATAATCATGGAAGTCAGTTCCATTCTATGGGTTCAATTTCTCAGGGGAACTGTGACTAATATACTTCATTACTTTAAATCTTAATGTCTTCATCCATCAAATGGAGGGAGGGATACCTGTCTTTCTAACTTATTAGAGCTTTTAATAATTTAAAAGATAGTGTTACATAAGAAAAGAAAGGAACGTATATGTTTAATTATAAAATGTGAGTCAAATATAAAGATGTATTAAAGCTTACCATCAAGAAATTTCCGTGTTGGGAGTCCCCTACATAGTGGTTAATAGGAGAGGAATTTCAGTTACTCTCCAATTTATTAATTTCTCACTTTTCAAATAATTCTGCTTATACATGCCCACTACCCTAAAAACTAGTGAAGGCATTTAAATTAAACTAGATTCTGTCCATCATGATCTTCTACTTTAGTTCAGGAGGTAACACCTAAACACAGGAAAAAAATAAGATATTAGGTTGGATGTAATAAAATACTGAAAATGGATATTAAGAACAATTGCTTAAATTCTAAGCATTAAAAAAGAAACAAAACCAACGAATCTAATCCTTTATTGTACTTTCTACCACTCAACATATGCAAAGTAAAAACATGTTTCCCTAATGAGAATTTTCAAGCCTTTTTAGGATTGCAAAGAAGTAAAGCTATGGAAAATAAAGCAGTACGTTAGCCACTAAAATTTAGCAGGGTGAATAAAACTTTATTGTTCATTTTTTTCCTAATTAAACTTTATAGATTTCTTAGATGTTAATCAGCACACAAAGCGTCTGGAATTTTTACTTTCTGAAGCAACGACAAACAGATTTTTAAATTATCCAATAGAACTGAGTAGAAAAAAAAGAGGACTGAAAATCGTTTCTTAATTATAAAGGTTTCATGGAGAGAAAAAAAAAAACTTGAGCTAAATTACAATGACATAAAACTGAAAATCAACCTAGAATTTTTCTTCTCTAATTTGTTTCTCACTTTTATTCAGCTAGGAGATAGTTGACCCTTCAGATAATGATTACTACACCATTATCAGGTAAATCACAAATGTACTTTTATTAGCATTCACTGATTTGGGTTTATTCATTCTTAGGCTGAATGGAAGATGTTAACAGAAAAAGAGTAATGAAGACATCAAATTACGAATAATTTTCTGGTAAGCGTATCTGTGCATACATATTTTATAGCCTGCATGCAGTCTTCTCCTTCATCTTTAGCTTGGTCTTTCACCCTTCTTTCAATCTTTGGAGATGGTAACCCAAGCTTCTTGAGATAGCATGTGGAAATGTGAATGGATATCTCTCTCTCTCAAGTTAGTAATGAAAGAATAGAATATATGAATTTCTATTCTAACTCTAACAAGTCCATAGATATTTAATATGTATGTGGTGCACCAGGAGAAGAGTTTCCATGGACATTCCCAAAATGGTGTGTCTTAATAAAAGTCACTGTCAATAACTGCAATGTACAAGATAAATGGCTGAAAAGTTGTAATCATTCAAGATAGCTTATCCTTTCTTACAGTCACAAGGTTGCAAAGAACTTTCTACCCTCAGTGTATCTCTAGCAGGCAACTCTTCCATTCCCCCACCCAACATTATTGCTTCAGTTTAGTGTCTTTTTATCTTCTGATTGATTCCTGTAAGAGTCTCCTAAGAAATGATCCCATCTACCATCATACTCTCACCCTTTATACCATATTTCCTAATTCTACTTTCATAATTTTTCTAAAATGAACATCTTATTACATATGTCTACCCTTGCTTAAAAATCATTTGTTTCCAACAGCATGACATATTAGAACTCTTGAGCAACCCATCTGGTTAAAAACAGAAACAAATAAAAATGTTAGATAAAGTACTTCATATTATCTTTTAAATACATAGATGAGAGGAAGAGTAACAAAAAGTTATCCCTTGACTAAATCAATGAGAAAACATGAACCTGGACATATAAGAAAGCACAGAAGCAGGCAGTTGCCTGGGGTCATCATGCAGTCTTTGGTTACCTAGATCTTTAGATTGTCAGATTAAGAGGCTGTACAGGGAACAGGAGACTCAACCTAGGGCTTGAAGAAGGCAAGACAGTAGATCAAAGTATTCCACATAAAGCTGTGACCTCACCTAAACTACTATGGGAACAGTGGTAGTGGAAATTTCAATCACATAGAAGGAATGAGTTTAAGAGATCTATTGTATGACATGGTAACTATAGGTAACAACATATCATATTCTTGAAAAATGTGTAACGTATTCTTACCATGAAAATGATAACTATGTCAGGTAATGCACATGTTAATTAGCAAGATTTAGTCATTCTACAGTGCATACATATGTCAAAATATTGTATATGATACATACAATTTTATCTGTCAATTTAAGAAAATACATTAAATATGGGAAGACTAGAAAAACAAATCAAACAAACAAAATAACTCATACCACAAAGAGATGTGGTTTCCAAAAACGCTTATCATTTCCTTGGCTATATTTGAAAAAAAATCTTCCCTATGAATTTGTAATCAGAAACTAGGCCAGGTACATTGGCTCACACCTGTAATCCCAGCACTTTGGGAGGCTGAGGCAGGTCAATCACTTGATGTCAGGAGTTTGAGACCAGCCTGGCCAACATGGTGAAACCAAATCTCTGCTAAAAATGCAAAAATTTGCCAGGTATGGTGGTGCATGCCTGTAATCACAGCTACTTGGGAGGCTGAGACACGAGAATAGCTTGAACCCAGGAGGTGGAGGCTGCAGTGAGCCGAGATTGCATCACTGCACTCCAGCCTGGTGACACAGCAAGACTCTGTCTCAAAGAAAGAAACTACTCTAACAAGGATATGGAATATTATTCACAAAACATGTGTAGTCCAACACAACCCCCAAATTTAATTTATAGTGATCTCAGATCAGTAGTGCTCTGGTTTACAAAAGAACCAATTCCATTCTCCTTAGAAAAACATACATTAAAAACTCAGTTCTCAAATAAGCTACATAAAGTTATAGAAAAAATGAAGTTGTAAATAATAGGAGAAAACAATGTGCAATAAATAAAAAAAAATCAGTTAAACTCAGATATATAAAGATTGTAAATTCTCAAATTTTTATAAAAATGTCAGACAAAAAATGTGAAAAAAATATTTAGAGAGGAAAAATGAAAATCTTGAAGGACATTATTAAAAAGATAACTAGATAGAGAAAAAAACTACAACTTTTGGATATGAAAAATAAGATTCGAGATAAAAAATTTAATGCATGGAATTACAACCAGTTTAAATGAGAGTTAGTGAACTGCAAACTAAATATGAAGAAATTATCCAGTATATAGTAGAGAAAAAGAAAAGAAAAGTATAACATAGGGCTTAAAAGGCTGAGTTGAAAGAGCAAAAAGGCATTAAGTAATGTCATTTTAGAGGTTCTTATCATGAGATACACAACCATTTAAGTGTTTATGGATAGAAACCAGGGAGTCTGTGACAAGCATGGAAAATTAAATTTATTTTGACTAAGATCCAAATGAAATTCAACATTTATTTCAATTATTCATGTAGAGAACAAATCACAATAATATTGCCAGTATCTTTCACCATAAAACATGACTACTATTTTTATATCACATTACATTTGTTGTAGGCGTCTCAAGATATTGTTTATACTAATCATTATTCAGAAACTATGGTAGTTATTGGACCACACTTACTAATTAGTCAGAGCTTTGTTTCATTATTTTAGTGAAGATGTAAATATATTAATATGTCACGAATTTGTTTGCTTTTTTTGCCATCCTATAATTTTTTTTACTAAGCACTTAAAAATATTAGTATGTGAAGATGTTCTTAGTCCTTGCCAGACTTCCAGAGGAATCAATTGCAAAAAGAAAAATAATTAGAAATGCTTGTCTAATTGGAGCTCCAGAAATATACACTAGAAAGAACGTGAATATGCAATAGTCAAAGAGGTAAAGTTTGATAATTTTACAGAAGTTTTGAAACACACCAATACTCACATAGAGGAATCTGAATGAATTCCAAGATAAATCAAAGCAAAAACTATAAAACACTGAAATGTAGAGAAAATATTTGTAATAGCTAATGGGAAAACACAAAGAAGTGATAATCAAATTATAACAGATTCTCAAGTGAATAGTGGAGGCTTTTCCCATTTTAAACTCAGGATTTAAGAAGAAATTCTGAGAGGTACCAACCTAACTTAATTGCAGAATTTCCAAAAGATTTGAACACAGATGAATTCTGTATCCATCATGGTATAACAGGAAGTAGATTTAACCTTCATCTTATATAACCTAGAAAACTTTACTAAATATTAATATGATCACCTTCAGATGTTGAAAAATGGGCAGCTTTGTACAGTGTTTCCTGAAAGGAAAAAAGGAAGAGGAGACATTACTACATATCCTAAGGACATTAGAAGAATAATAAAGGGATAGTATGAACAACTCTAGGCCCACAAATTTGATAACCTAAATGAAATGGATGAATTCCTTGAAAAACACAAACTGTAAAAATTCACACAAGAGGAAATAGTTTATCTGAATCGACCTTTATCTGTTAAGAAATTCAACCAAAAATTAATTACCTTCCAAAAGGAAAAGCAACAAATCCAGGTGGGCTTAATGGTGAATTCTACAACATTAAGTAATAAATCATACCAATAATCTATAATCTCTTACAGAAGATAGAAGCAAAAAGAGTACTTTCTAACTCATTGTGTGAGGCCAGCATTTTCCCAATACCAAAACTAGACATGGACATTACAAGAGAAGAATACTATAGATCAACATCTCTCATGATGATAGATGTAAAAATCTTCAACAAAATATTAGCAAATTGAATCCAACAATATATGCAAAGAATTATATACCACAGTCAAGTTGGATTTATACCCAGTATATTTGGTCAGTTCAACATTAAAAAATCAACTAATGTAATAAATCTCACCCACAGGCTAAATTAGAAATCACATAGTAGATGCAGAAGAAGCATTTGACAAAATTAAATACCCATTCATTATTAAAACTCTCAGAAAAACAGGAACAAGGTGGAACTTTATCAACTGAATAATGAACACTGACAACCTACAGATAGCATCATACCTAATGATAAGAAATTAGAAACTTTCCTGTTCAGGAGCAAGGCGGAAACATACCTTGTCATTACTTCCTTTCAACATTGTACTGGAAATCCTAGCTAATGCAATAAGACAGACAAAAAAAAAAAAGATAGAAGATATTAAGATTGAGAAAGGAGAAATAAAAATGTCTTTATTTACAGATGACATAGTTAGCTATGAAGAAAATTTAAGAAATAATCAGCAAAATAATTCTTGAAACTAATACACAAATATAGCAAAGCTGCAGGATATAAGATTAATATACAAAAATTAATTGCTCTCTTAAATATTAACAATGAACAAGTGAAACTTGAAATTAAAAACACATTACCATTTACACTATCATCCCCCCAAAATGAAATAATTATGTATAAATCTAACAAAAAATGTGTGAGATCAATATGAGGGAAACTATAACACTCTGATAAATGAAACCAGTGAGCTAAATAAATGAAGAAATATTCCACGTTCATGGATTTAGAGACCCAATATTGTCAAGACATCAGTTCTTTCCAGATGTCAGTTTCTTCCCAATTTGATCTATGGGTCCAATGTGATCCCAATAAAAATATCAGCAAGTGGATATTGAAAACTGACTGTGAAGTTTTTATAGAGTGTCAAATACCCATAATAGCCTACATAACATTGAAGGAGAATAATAAATTAGGAAGAGTATTATATGACTTCAAGACTTTTTATAAAGTCACAGCAATCAAGACAGTGTGATATTGGTATAAAAACAGACAATTAGATCAAAGAAACAGAATAGGGAGCCCAGAAACAAACTCTCATAAATATGGTTAAGTAATCTGTGACAAAGGAGAAAAGGCAATACAATAGAGCATAGATAGTCTTTTAAACAAATGGTTCTGAAACAATTGGTTATCCACATCCAAAAAAAAGTATACTTAGATACACTCCTCATGCTCTTTGCAAAAATTAATTCAAAATGAATCAGAGACCTAAATGTAAAATGTAAAAATATAAAACTGCTAGAAGACAGCATAGAAGAAAATCTAGATAGCCTTAATCATGAAAATGTCTTTTTAGATATAGCACTAAGGGCATAATTCATAAGATTAGTACTTAATTAATCACAACAAACCCCTGTGACATTAGTTAACCTATATAACAAACCTGCACATGTACCTGAACCTAAAATAACAGTTAAAAACAACAGCAACAAAAAAACTTCTGCTCTGCAGAAGACACTCTCAAGAGAACAAAAAAACTAGAAAAAAATATTTGCCAAAGGTATATCAGATAAAGGACTCTTGTCCAAAATATACCAAAAACCCTTAAAACTCAACAATAAGAAAATGAACAACCTAATTAAAAATGGGCCAAAGATCTTAACAATCTCACCAAAAAATAAACAGAGAATGAATAATCATATGAAAAGATGCTACATATTACATATCATTAGGAAAAGGCAAATTAAAACAATAAGATATCACTCATGCCTATTGGAATGGCCCAAATTCAAAATATTCACAACTCAATAATGTGGAGCAATAGAAAAATCTCATTTGTTGCTGATGGGGATGCAAAATTGTACAACCCCTGTGGAAGAAAGTTTGGCAGTTCCTTACCTAACTAAACATACACTTACCATATGATCCAGCAGTTATACTCCTTGGTATTTACCCAAAGGAGTTGAAAACTTATGTCCACACAAAAACTTGCACACATGTTTATAGCAGCTTTACACATAATTGCTAAAACTTGGAGGCAACCAAGATGTTCTTCAACAATTAGTTAAGTAAATTGTTATAAATCCAGACAATGAAATATTATTCAGCACTGAAAATCAATAAGCTATGAAGCCATGAAAAGACATGGATAAAACTTAAATGCATATTACTGAGTGAAAGAAGCCAAATCTGAGAAGGATACATATCATATGATTCCAACTATACGAAATTCTGGAAATGGCAAAACTATGGGAACAGTAAAAGTATCAGAGGATCTTAGTGTTGTGAGTGTTGAAGTAGTTGAGTTGGAGATGGGTGGACAAATGAATAGGTGGAGCACAGAAGATTTTTAGAACAGTGAAAATACTCTGCATGATATTATACTGATGGGTACATGTCATTATACATGTGTCTTTGTCCAGACCCATGAAATATACATCAAACATAAACCCCTTTGTTAACTGTGAACTTTGGTTGATAGTGGAGTGACAGTGCAGATTCATTAGTTCTAATAAATGCACAACCCTGGTGAGATGTTAAGAGTTGGAGGAAGCTGTGGATGTGTGGAAGACAAGGATATATGGCAATTCTCTGTACTTTCTGCACCATTTTGTTGTGAACCTAAAACTAATCTAAAAGATAAAGTCTATTGAAAAGAAAAAAAAATAACAAACAATGAAAATGAGTCCTCTAATTGTTGCAGTCTACTGTCTGAAAAGAGTTTCTAGGCCACAGTCAAGGAGAAGAGGCTCAAATAAAGTGAGCAGTCTCAGAGTTGAGGAGATAGTTCAGGGAGGTCAAGCTAATTTGAATTTCTGAGAAAATGAATAGAGAGGAAGGTAATTACAGACAGGGTGAAAAGATCTGTCGATTTGCAGAGGGATTCCACCAAATTCATGACTACATAATGAGTGCATATTCACATGAGGAAACTATCTCATACCAGGGTAAGAACATTAGAAAGCAGGTAGAACAATGCACAGTTATCATATAGGTCCAGGAAATATTTCTGCCCATATTTCTACCAGCCAGTGTGTGAAGACCTATTAAAATGAGACATTGGATAGAATTCGCCAAAAGGTATGTCCATTTAATGATGGGGTTAAATTTGCTTTAGATTAAAGGCTGCCCTGAACCCGCCTATGAAAACTTAAAAGCAAGCCTCATAAAATAATGCAAACTAAATTAGTTATATTCCAGAAAACTAAAAATAAATATCTAAAGCAATTCAAGGAATTTAGCATCTGAATTCTAGCATGCAATACAAAACAGCTAGAGATGCAAAGAAGCAGAAAAATATGATACAAATTGGAAAAAACAGAACATGAAATGGCATAAATGATAAAATCAGCAGATAAGGACTTTAACAGAAGTATTACAAATGTGTTCTCTATGTTTGAGAATGTAAAGAAAAGCACAGCATGACAATCAAAAATGTGATTTTTTTTTAATATTACAAAACAGACTTCTGTAAGTCAAAAAAATCTAAAATAAGAAATAAGCTGAATGAGATTAATAGTGGATTGGAAAATACAAAAGAAAATATTAATTACATAGCAATAGAAACCATGGGAAATGAAATATAGAGGGAAACACCATTGATAAAAGCAAGCAGGATATCTCTAATATAAAACAACAATAAGTGAGCTAACATACAGATAATGGAATTTCAGAAGGAAAGGAAGTTTGAGGTGGGGGGCAGACATACATAATGAAGAACACTTTCTAATTTGGTGAACTACAAACTTTAGAACTTAAATAATCTCCAACATAACAAATATTTGGAAAACCAAACCAAGACACCTCATACTCAATTTGAAGAATACCAGTAATAAAGAAAAAACATTAAAGTAGTCAGAGTATTCTTATTGAGCTCCTTTCTGTCTACTGGTGGCAGTCTATGGATTTGCACAAGACAAAACTAGCGCTATTTTACCTTCTGTCTTTAAACAGGTATATTTGACTGTTTTGTGAGAAATTCTGGCATTTAAAAAAAGGCAGCCAGAGAAAAGGAAACAATATATTCAGAGGAACAGAGATTGGAATGACAGCATATTTCTCACTGGAGGTCAAGCATGTCAGAAAACAATGAATAATATATTTAAATATTGTGAGGGCAGAGTGAACCAGCTGTCAATTTGGAATTCTATATACAACAAAAAATACCTTTCAAAAATTAAAGTTAAAGACCTTTGCAGACAAGCAAAACTGAGAACATTTATCACCAGCAAATCCATACAAAAAGCATGTTAAATAAAATTATTTTGGCAGAAAATAAAATGAGGCTACACGGAAATTTAGATTTACACAAAGAAATAAAGAGCACTGGAAATGGCCAATATGTGAATACATATAGAACTAATTTTGATTTTTAAAAATCTTATTAAAATAATTAAATATATAAAGCAAAAATAACAACAATGTATTCTGGAATTTATAAAATGTAGAAGAAAAATACAGGACAAAAATTGCACAGAAGACAGGAAGAGAAATTGTAGAATTTCTTTTAAATTATGCTTAAAGATCTGGAGTACATGTACAGAAAGTGCAGTTTTGTTACATAGGTATACACGTGGCATAGGTATACACGTGGCATGGTAGTTTGCTGCACCCATCAACCCGTCACCTACATTAGGTATTTCTCCTAGTGTTATCCCTCCCCTAGCCCCCCATCCTCTGACAGTGTGTGATGTTCCCCTCCCTATGTCCATGTGTTCTCGTTGTTCAACTCCCACTTACGAGTGAGAACATGTGGTTTTGGTTTTCTCTTCTTGTGATAGATTGCTGAGAATGGTGGTTTCCAGCTTCATCCATGTCCCCGCAAAGGACATGAACTCATCCTTTTTTATGGCTGCATAGTATTCCATGGTATATATGTGCCACATTTTCTTTATCCAGTCTATTATTGATGGACATTTGGGTTGGTTCCAAGTCTTCGCTATCGCGAATAGTGCCACAATAAACATACGTGTGCATGTGTCTTTATAGTAAAATGATTTATAATCCTTTGGGTGTATACCCAGTAATGGGATTGCTGGCTCAAATAGTATTTCTGGTTCTAGATCCTTGAGGAATCGCTATATTGTCTTCCACAATGATTGAACTAATTTACAGTCCCACCAACAGTGTAAAATTGTTCCCATTTCTCCACATCCTCTCCAACATCTATTGCTTCCTGACTTTTTAATGATCATCAGTCTAACTGGTGTGAGATGGTATCTCATTGTGGTTTTGATTTGCATTTGTCTAACGACCAATGATGATGCACATTTATTCATATATCTGTTGGCTGCATAAATGACTTCTTTTGAGAAGTATCTGTTGATATCCTTTGCCCACTTTTCGATGGGGTTGTTTTTTCTTGTAAATTTGTTTAAGTTCTTTGTAGATTCTGGATATTAGCCCTTTGTCAGATGGATAGATTGCAAAAATTTTCTCCCATTCTGCAGGTTGCCTGTTCACTCTGATGGTAGTTTCTTTTGCTGTGCAGAAGCTCTTTAGTTTAATTAGATCCCATTTGTCAATTT